>NC_000004.12:154981987-155285017 GCF_000001405.40 Homo sapiens
ATCTCGTAATTGTGTATACACATTTATTATGTTTCAGTTAAAAATGAATAAAAGAAGATAACAAAAATTGCAATCTCAACTGGATAGTAATTTCAGAAACAAAATTATGAGTCTTTTCACATTTTATGGCACACACTTCTTTTTTTTTGTGGGGTATGGGTACATAGGAACGTGTTTGATATAGTCAATTTAGTTGATTTCCTCTTGTATCTCTGCCTCAGAGCTTTCTCCAAAGTCAAGGGAGGTAGATCAGCTCTTGCTCACAAGAGGGGTCCTGAAGTGCAGAGAAGATTATTCTGTGGGGCAACCCTTGACCAATGCGGGGTGAGAGTCCATGTGCTTCTCTGAGATCCTGTGGAATCAAGCACCTTTGCCCACTGCAGCCCCTTGATGACACGCCCTTGTACTGGCTTTTCCTCCTTCCCTGTCTCATTCTCTCCCCTTCCTCAGCCCTGCTTCCTCTGACCATTCCCCAAATAAGGACTCACGGAGACCCCATTTTACATGAGCTTCTGATAATCATGAGTAGCTCAACCTTAAACGGCTAAGTGTTCCTACAAAGGGTGGCACTTCTGGTCAAGTTGTGCCCACTGGAAAGGGCAGAGATTGTTACTGAGAGAGCGCAGGTACCTGAGAATCCCAGCATGGTGAACTGATGTTCCAGCAGAGGGCAGTGCAGCAGACTTTTTGGAGGCGAGGAACTTGAGCCCAGAGGATGCAGGTTTGAAAACAGTTTCTCATCAAGGGACATTTGGAAATCCTCATTGAAGGGCACCGAGGCGCGGGCTGTGGGAAGTTATGGGACTTTGTGTTGATGCTGCTTTTCTTGGTTATGTGGTCTTTGTCCCTTTACCTTTTTGTTTCTTCTCTGTCTTATTTTTGATGGAAAGTGAGTACTAATTTTAGCATACATATTCATTGGGGCTATTTTGAGAGACAATATCATAAGAAAAGCTTTTTTGTTTTTGATAGTCTACCATAAAGAATGTAAAGTTCTGCCAGTTTTGGCCCTCCCAGGACAGGACCACGAGGGGATTTCACCAGGTTTGGCCACAAGGTTGGATGCAGAAATGAACCAAGGGCCTAGAGCGAGTGGAGTGAGGTGACGTGCAGGAGCAAAAGAAAAGTAAGGGAAAATGAAGGAAAGGGGAGGGCAGAACAAGTGTGTTGACACTTCTGGGTATTGTTCTCTGTAAACTGGAAAATGACCCTGTAAAAATAGCAAAAAAGAAAAAAGTAGTATTTTACATCAGGCATGTTCATGATTAGATATAATTTTATTGTATCTGCACTTTTTTTCAGATTTTACAGTTCATTAAGGGAATGTCTACAAAAGGGTTTTCTCTTCCCCTGCTCTCTTCTCTCTTCTATTCCAATAAGCCTCTTCTCTGCTGTATTATGTTTTGCATTCTGAAAAATGGGTGTCTGTGTCCTGGGACGTTGAAAGGGGAATTTTCCTGCGTTTCGGAATAGAAATGGTAACCAAAAGAATTGTGATGGCCGTGAATAACCCAGACCTTTTGTGTCATGAGTATTTCTGGCACAAGGGCCACAGAAATTCTAGTCAAGATGTGTTGTAACAATAGTGCTTGAACATTAAAGGAAATGAGTTGCTGTGGTACATAAAAGGCATGCACAAAAATAGTGCATTTTAATTTAATAACCATTACATCTTCAAAGTTACATTTTGAAGAGTCCTTTGGTCAAGTGAGATTTTTCTAACTTCTCCCCAAATTGGGACTGGCCTGACACACATGTTCCAGGTATTAATTCCTTTCTCTTCCTAAGTAAATCCATTCCCTCCTAACATGCCTGAAGAATTGAGTGACTTCTTCACGTGTCTGTTTTTAATAAATCATTATGTTATTTACTGTTCTCTCAGCTGTGAGCAGGGTCCGGAACACAGAAGTACTAAGTGCTGCACTTGGGCACACAGTGTCTCCACAGAAAAGAGGCTGAAATCACATCTGCTGAGTTTTGACTGGTACTTATTGCTACTCCGGTCCAACCTGCAGTGATTCCCCAGAAACAGAGCTATCCGATGGGTCCTGTTGCTCATTAGTCTTAGAAGGGCACCTGCGGTGGTTCCATATTTACCAGGGATTTTTTTTTTTTCAAATAAAGTTATTTTCACTAATGGGAGCAAAGATGTACTCTGTTCCCCAGACCTGAGATTTGGAAGCAGGAACTGACTAGGGATGTTCCCTCCTCTATTACGCTTCCATGATTCTTGAAGGTGCCCAACCTCAGTCCATCTTACTGCTTGGGTGAGAAACCATGGTGGTCTGTGTCTGCTCCCCTAGCTCACACCCAGTGCTGAAATGTCTCGGTTTGACTGTCCTGCCCTATTTTGTGGCACGACAGCTTAGAGGTTCAGCATGTGGTTACTGAACTTATACTGCCTGGTCCAGTTCCTCATTTTACAACTCAGGGAGCTACATAACCCTGTAATGTACTGAATAGTTCTTACCCCAGAGGTAAAATCAGGTTGATGATAATAGTTCACCTCTTAGTGTTAAATGGAATAAAATTCGCAAAGTATCTGGCACACACAATTTTTTAAGGTTTCTATTTTTCTGTTTGTTTTTGATACTTCATACATGTATGTATGTTCTGTTTCTTCCTTCATCCTCCTTCCCATAGTCTGTTCAAGGCACTTGTGGGATTGTTATAATAAAGTCTCAGGCAGTCCTAAGCAAAGGGAACATGGGAAGGATGAAGAAGAATGAAGAGAATGTATCTAGAGAACTTATGTTCTATTTACATGAGATCTGAAATCTCTCTACAGTCCTCCATTCTATTGCAGTGGACACTTGAAAAGTGCTCCAGAAGCAAATGTTGCCACAGCAAACATTTCCAAGGTGCTGAGCAAAGTGAGGCAGGGCAGTGATTGCCCAGACTGTGTGAGGATCAGGACCACCTGAAGGCCTTTAAAGACTACCTGAAAGTGGCCAGTAGATCTGGGAGCGTCTTTACTTCTAAAATATTCTCCACTTGACTTAGATTTCTAAACAGGAGTTATCCTGTTTAGAAAGGCTTGCCTGGTAGTATCAACAGCAGGATTTTGGAAGAGGTGTTATAGTAAATGTGAGCACTACATGGCAATCATGCATAGAAAAAGATGCGGAATGATGTTTTCCAATACCATTATTCATCAGATAAAAGTCCAATGGTACTCTAAGTGAGCTTGACTTTTGAAATCAGCCTGTAGAACTATGTCAGTGAAAAGTCCCTTATATCAGGGACTGAAGGGTGGAAAGTAAGGACAGGGACTGGATATATTGTATTACCTATTTTATTTCTGCAACGTTGGTGTCAAATTTACTTTACTTGTTTGACATGATACACATGGGGAGGAAAATAAAAATCAGAATGACACCAAAAGGCATGTTTTCTTGGAACACACTCAATTATAATTAAGGACACCCATTACCCACCAGCAACTTTTACTGCTCAGAGAATATTGTTTCCATCTGGGGTCAGTCCTAACCCCAAAGACACAATCCCAAACACCATAATCCCAAATGTTGAAATCACAAAAGATCAAAATCCCTAAAGTCTAAAATCCCTAATATCTAAAATTCTGGAAATCACAATCCCAAAATATTAAAATTCAAATGTTGAAATTCTTTTTTTTCTTTATTTCTTCTAAAAAAATGGGATACATTTGCAGAATGTGAAGGTTTTTTATATAGGTATGCGTGTGCCATGGTGGTTTGCTGCACCTATTGACCCGCCCTCTAAGCTTTCTCCCCTCACCCCCACTCCCCAACAGGCACTGGTGTGTGCTTATTCTCCTCTCTATGCCCATGTGTTCTCAATGTGGAAATTCTGAAAGCCACATTCTAGGGAAGTGATCCATCAGTTTTCTTGGTATGCAGGATAGTTGCATCATGTTAGACGGAACTATTACATTGTTATTGTCTTTATTTGGAAATTAAGTACGTTTTAAGGAGATGCCTATGGGTGCCAAGTTGAGAGGAAGTGGACTTGTGGACTTAATTTTAGGTGTCATCGATTTTGACTGGATTAAGGGATATCTGGAAAGCTGGTAAAGCACTATTTAGGGCATGTCTGTGAGGGTGGTTCCAGAGGAGATGAATGTGTGAGTCTGAGTGGACTAGGTAGGGGCAGATCAGCGCTCAGTGTTGCTGGACACCATCCAGTCAGCTAGGGGCCTTGGAGAGAACAAATTCAGAAAGTGAATTGGTCTCTCTCTGAGAGCTGGGACAGACTTTGCTTCTGGGTGCCTTGGAGATCAGATCTCCAGGCTCACTGGCCTTTGGGCTTCAGGACTTACATCAGCAGTCCCCCATGTCCTGAGGTTTTGGCCTCAGAATGAGAACGACACAATCAGCTTCCCTGGGTCGGAGGCTTTGGGGTTTGACTAGACCATGCTACCAGCATCCCAGGGTCTCCAGCTTGCTGATGGCCTATTGTGGGGCTTCTCAGACACCCTAATCACATGAGTCAATTCCCCTAAAAATCCCCTCACATATCTATATACATAACCTATTGGTTCTGTCTCTCTGAAGAATCCTAACTAATACAGATTTGGTATTGGGAAAGGCAAATGTCATTCTTTCTTACTGTACTCCTTATAACATAATGGGAGAGACCTGTGAAATTGTTCCTTTGCAAAAAGACTGCGATATGGTAAGTGTATGAGACTACTTAATGGTGAAACATGTAAAAGCAAATTATTATTAGTGCTGCAAAAGCAGAAAATTGTTTAATTACAATGGCCAAGCAATAGCCAAACTTTCAAATGGACAGCATATACTTAGAAAACTTGTAGACCACAACCACTCTCCAAGTACAAGTGCAGAGTGTTTTGAAGATCACAGAAGTGAAAATACAATCAAAAAGGACAAGAAATCTCCCCTGCCAAATTATTCAATTGAATATGACTTGTGCCTCTTCACACATAGCGCCAATTCACTATGCTGTGTTTTATCTTCACATCATTCCTGGTGCTAGAGTACGCATTGTGTAAAGACTTTTACAGAGTTCTAATTTGTTCTATGCATTGTTTTTGCAAATTTGACACCATGAAAGTGTATTATCACAATGTTCACTTTGCATGTAATCATTGTGCATGTAGATAAAAATGTTGAGACTTTCTCAATAAATGAAGAAATGTTCTTTTTGTACATGTGAACTTGTAAAAGATAAAATTTCTTGAGATCTTGGCTCTTTGGGTGACCATATATGTGCTGGTGACCCATTGTGGTTTTCGATCAATCTCGTCAAAAGATATGTTGTCTGTCATGGTATTTCAGATGACCACAGTTATAAAGCTGTGTGCACACAATCACCAGTCATGGTGATATGCATTTGTATATTTAGCTTTTTGACCGATTTCTTTATAAATATGGTTTGTCTGCTCATAATTGTTATATCCATGTACCCATTATTACTATAACTATTTATGCTTGCAAAAATATGTAGGTTATTATTGCCTATTGATTGTGTAGTGGCCTATAAAGTGTTCTGTTGTGGTTTTATATGTTTCTCAAATAAATTCTCTTTTAAAATGTAAGTAAATGTATTTTAAAAAATTTTTATTATGTTTTTCAGATTTATATTTTTGAGCTATTGGTCTTTTAGGATTGTGATTTTGGGGATGTTAGACTTTAGAAATTTTGATCCTTTTGTATTTAAACATTTCGGATTGTGTGTCTTTTGGGATTACAGCCCAAACCCATGTCCACCTGATTGCCTTCTAACCAAAAGTGGGAGAGTAAAGCTTTGGAATATCATCTGGCCTAGAACTAAATGTGGACAAGCAGCTTTATTTATTTATTTTTGTAGCCAATGGGCAAGAAAACTGAGGAAATCTAAACTCTGGAATTACAGAGAGTAAAGAGATTTAAGAAAAATTTGCCTTCATCTTCTCTTTTACTAGACCTGAAAATAGGTATTTAGGCTGGGAAACTATTTGAGGAATTCAATTAATGGTTCTTTATTCTATGGAGTAAAAAAGACTAATTGGTTGTCTTCACTGGTGAAGTCCCCAAATAATTGCTCAATTCTTTACTAATTCTGCCAGCCTAATTCTGCCAGGTAACACTATAAAGCAGCAGTATGTGACCTGAATCATTCTCGACTACCTTGAAATCTAATTTTGCCTGTCAAACTAATGTTTAGCTCCAGAACATTAGTTTGATACGTTTGATGTCCTTGGAGGACAACGGGCACCTCTTGCTGCACATTTCCTGGCTGCCCAGCATATGACATGGCTCAGCCTCCTCCAAGTCATCTGTAGACATTTCTTGCCACAAAATTCCTCATGCTAACCCCTCTGCTCTTTCTCTTACCTCTTCTTCCTCTAACTTCCAAAAGCTGGATCCCCTACATGTGACAATTGCTTTTGCACAGCTCCTTGGTCAGTGGTTTTTGATCTCCAACTTTACTTTTTTTCTTTATATCAGCAAATGAATAAAATTGTCTATTCCATCTTTAGTACAAGTGTTATTACTATTACCAGTATTTTTTCCATTACTACTACCATTACTGTCATCAGTGATCTTGTCTTAGGGTTCTCTGGAAAAACAGAACCGATAAACTGAATCAATCTCTCTCTCTCTCTCTCTCTCTCTGGATTCATTATGAGGCACTGGTTCCCATCATTATGTGAGCTGAGAAGTCCCATGATATCTGCTGTTTGCAAGCTGGAGACCCAAGAAAGCTGATGACATAATTTAGTCTGAGTCCAAAGGCCTGAGAACCATGTGAGCCAATGTTACCTAAGTGTAGGAAAAGATGAAATGAGATCGCCTGGCTTAAGCAGTAAGGCAGGAAAAGGGGCAAATTCTTCCTTCCTCTGCCTTATGTTCTGTTCAGAACTGCAATGGATTGGATGATGCCCAACTACAATGGGGAGGGCACTTTGTTAATCTCGTGCAGAAACCCTCACAGACACACCCAGAAGCAATGTTTAATCTGAGTATTCCATGGCCCCCTAAAGTTGACACATAAAATTAACCATCACAAATGTAGATGATAGTGAAACAATTCTAACTTTTGTTGAATACTTACTATGAAAGAATCACTTTGCATGAAGGTGAGGAGAAAACAGCTAGTGTCCACCAGTGACTAAGTGGAGGCAGAATTTTAGTGCAAGTGAGTTTGTAGCTTATACATTTTAGGTTATTAGGCAATTTAAATTCATCAATAGAATGTATTAGTTTGAGTTTTATGAAAAAATTTCAGCTTTCTTTTTGTTCATTGTTTTGAGTGAATTTTAAGTAATTTTTCTTGTCTTTTTTGGGTGACTTTGATATGACAGGATGCACAGGATACCCCAATTCATTGGTTCTGATAGAAAGAAAGGAAAGGAAAGCCAAGTAAGAAACTAGAAGGGTATTGAAAAGATGCACTTATCTCCAAGGCCAGTGAGGCACTGAACAGGCCCGTACCAGCTCAGGAGAGCTAATTTGTTCATCCCTTAACAACTTTGTGTTCAGTGACTGATTTCATGTTGGTAGCTTAAAATCAGCCACAATGAGATTATTTACATCACATGAAATGGCAATTGCTACTGTGTTCGTTTCCTGTGGTTGCTCTAATAGGATTCCAAAATCAAAATGTTTGCAGGAACCATGCTCCCTCTGAAGGCTAAGGGGAGAATTCATTCGTTGCCTCTTCCAGCTTCTGCTGGCTCCAGGGATTTCTTAACTTGCGGCCACATCACTCCAATCTCTGCCTTGGGTCACATTACCTTCTTCTGTCTCAAAACTCCAGTTGCTTGTCTCTTACAAGGATACATGTGATTATATTAATGCTTAGGGCTCACCCACTAATTAGGTTAAGCTCCTCCCGTCAAGATCCTTAACTTCATTCCATACTTTGCCTTATAAAGTCATACTCATTCTTTTGCGATATAAGGTAACACTCACATGTTCTGGGAATCAGGACGTGAATTTTTGGGGCCACTGTTCAGCTCACTAGAGATACAAAAATGTTTTGTTTTTGGTTTTGGTTTTGTTTTTTTTTCTGGCATGTTGGTTTGCTTGCATACCACTGATCCTGTATTAAATTTAAAAAAATGTTTAACTGGTGTGATGCAGGACACAGCCCTTCAGAGCAAGTACTACCAGGAAATTGCTGGTGCAGTGAAAGCGGTGTGTACCGACTGGCTGCTTTGCCTGTGTCTTTATCACTTCAGAGGGTAGGTGCAACTGTTTATATTATTGACACATAAACGTAACGTTTCCTACACTGTTCATTATAGTGGATGGCACTGATATTTTTAAAATTGTAAAGTGATATGGAATGGCCATTATAAGAGAATGACTTTTTTTACTGATGTCCTAAATTCATAATTGGATTTCTTTTTTAGCCTCCTTAGATTTTCTGCGTTTCTAAGTTTCCCTTTACGTCATATATCTGCTTGCTTTTCTTTTACAAGTATCCCAGTGATAACTTTTCTTAGCCATAATTCCGCCCATAGGTGAAAATCCATATTTAGAGTGGGGATCAGGAAAAGTTTGTTGACAGTTTGTGTAGGTTATTAACTAACGAAATAAAATTCAGGGAATGGCACCCAATCACTTAGCTGTTTAAAAAGGATAGTAGATAGAGGGTTTGTGACAAATAATCTTGAACGGCCAAGACACTGGCATTGAAAGTTGTTTTTGTTCATTATTCCTGCACTTTTTAGTGGATTTTACAAAAAGAAAGTGTGACTATACTTATGCTACCTATATTATTATTTTCAGTAATTTCCAGTAGAACTGAATACCACCAAGTTCCATTAATTTTGTGACTCTTCTTAATTAGTTCTTTGGCTAATGTAAGTTGTTGCCTTGCAGATGGATTGACTCTTAAAACCACATTCTCTCAGCGTGGAGCCTACACTTATTAGTCAAGTGATCATGCTTTAAATTGCTTGCTAGATATAGTTGGTCCTAAGGCATACCATAAACATCTGCTTCCTCTGGGACCATGGTTTTTTATCTTTGCTGTACATTAGAGTCACCCAAGAGCTGATAAAAATCCTGATGTATGGGCCAATTACAAACGAATCTCTAAAGGCTGTACCTAGTCTTTAGTATTTTTCAAACTCCCTACCTGATTTCAAATGTGCAGGCAAATTTGGGAACCCCAAATTACTGCTTAATAGGAAATAGCCATGGCTCTTTTCCCAGGTAAGATGGGTCTTTAAAAATAATCATTTTTCCCCCTTTTCCCGGTTATAGTTACAATTTTAATATAGGTCATGGTCTGAAATATTCAATTAAGTATGGTAAGTTTTTTTTCCCTCCTTCCCCTCTATGTAATTTGGTTTATTGCCCATTTATTTTACACAGGTAAGTGTTTAAATCGAATCCAAGAAACATGCTAATTTGAATGCCTACTGTGTCCTCATCCATGGCCACAAAATGTAATGAAATATCCACTTCTGTTTACAGCACAATCTAATAATAATTATATGAATTATTAATAATTTTTAAAAAAGATTAGAAGCAACCTTTTATCAGAGATCTTAAGTGTCCCTAGTGCCATCATACAAGGCTGGAATCATATATTAAATAATATTAGACATTCAAGTGTTTCTGTTATATGCCCAGTTTGTTGTTCACTCTATCGGGGAAAAGCATGACACTTTCAAGAACCATAAAATTCATGGTATTAGCCCCAAATATGCCCAACTATCAATTACCCGGAACAAATGTGTATCCCTATTATAAGTTAACCATGCTAACTTTCACTCTCCATCCTCAGATATCTCACTACCATTTTATTGCTTATGGGTATTACCAGCTGATGAGGCTGAGGGCCGGGAGATACACAAATAAACAGTTAGGTGAGAGATAAAGTTGAATGGATTTCCCTATGTAAATTTTTTTAATGTTAAAAATTTTAAACTATGGATACTTTGCATTTTATAGAAATGTCACATACTCATTATAAGAAATCTAAGAAATGCTGAAAATTTGACAGCAATATACAAAGAAAAATCTTACATTTAGTAATAACCAGTATTTACTATTTCATAAAAATAATCCCAAATATCTGTCTATGTATATGTACTGAGAGAAATGTTCCATAGATAGACATTTTTAAGAGAATGGGACACTGCCACACATGATATCATTAATATTAAAATTGTTATATTTATTTTTGCTTAAATTAACAGAATAAAAATTCAAATATAATTAAAGAAATTGTTGACCTTCAGAAATGCATTTTTTTTTTTTTTTTTTGAGACGGAGTCTCGCTTGTCTCCCAGGCTGGAGTACAGAGGCACAATCTCGGCTCACTGCAACCTCTGCCTCTCAGGTTCAAGAGATTCTCCTGCCTCAGCCTCCTGAGTTGCTGGGATTACAGGTGCATGCCACCACACCCCGCTAATTTTTGTATTTTTAGTAGAGATGGGGTTTCACCATGTTGGCCAGACTGGTCTTGAACTCCTGACCTTGGGTCATCCGCCCGCCTTGGCCTCCCAAAGTGCTGGAATTACAGGCGTAAGCCACGGCGCCCCCGCAGGGATGCATTTTGTTACCTAAAAATCCCTCCGAAGTTCAGGAAGGGTAGTATGAAAACCATTAAGAATCTGGAGTCAGCATCTTCCAATTTTATAGATTATGAATTGACTTCTTGATATGAAATATGAAGGAATAATATTTTAAAAATTTTCTTCCACTTCCTTACCACAATCTACTGATTATTTTTACTTATAGTTTTACATTGTTAGTTTAGAACATTTACATTTCTGCTGTATAAACATAATATCTATAATTGTTTAATATTAATATTTTTCCATGGTTTCTCCATCAGCTGTGATGAAAGTGACAAAATTAGGTAATGGATGTCTTATTAAATTAAATTGTTAACACCTAAGAATAGTAATAACACAATAAGTTTGTTAAGTAAATAAAATTCCTGGGGTATTTATAATGATTTATATTTTACTGGCTGGGTTTATGGTTGAGTAGCGTTTTAAAGAAAGGGCTCATTGGTACTGTATTCTTTGATTGTTTTGATTCAAAACTGTTTTCTATTTTCATTTATAATAATAATTTCCACTTACCTTCAGATATACATACCTACTATTTAATTTTGCAGTGGAGAAGTCTGAGGCATTCTAGCTTTTACTTCTTTACAAAAGGTGTTTTTTTGTTTATGTTTTCCTGTCTGAAGTATTCACTATTTTCTCTGCCTGGAGAATCCTGTATTCTTAAAGTTTATTTACCAGCATTTTGCTCATGTTGATTACTCTGTATCAAAGTTTCATTGAACATAGTTTACTCTTTTGATCTATGGATTTGTATCTTCCTTGATTTTCTGTATTATTTATCTTATTGTTTTTTCTTTTGGGAGTTCTCTACTGCAGGGATCTCTCCTCTTATATTTATGTCTGATTATCTTAGTCAGTTATGTCTGCCATAAAAATGTCTCACAGGTTGGGTGGCTTATGAACAACAGAAATTTATTTTTTATGGTCCTGAAGGTGGGAAGTCCAAGATCAAGGTACCAGCACAGTCTGTGTCTGGTGAAGGTCCACTACACTTCCTGGTTCATAGATGGTGCCTTCCCGTGGTATTCTCAAAAGGTGAAAGACCTCTTGAGGAGAAAGAGCTCTCCAGGGTCTGTTTTGTAAGGGCACTAATCCCATTTATGAGGGCTCTGCTCTCATCATTTATTATAATTACCTCTGAAAGACTGCAGCTCCTAATTCCATCACTTTGGAGGTTACAATTTCAACATATGAAATTTGGGAGGGCAAAACATTTAGCTATAGCACTGATCTTCTTACCCTTGATGTGTGTCTTCTCTCCAGTGACTAGAATCTCTGCATTTTTATAATTCATTAAGATTATTGTAATGCTTTCTTCTGTGTCATTAAGATGACTTTCAGCAGTATCTTTTTTGTTTCTTGCTCCTCATGTTTTGTTTAGAAGCACTACAATATTCATATTGTAGTTATCAATGTTTTTTATTGGCTTTACAATCTACATCTCCATTTCATTCTGTAATTTTGTCATCTTGTGTTTGAACTCTTGTATAGTAAATTTATATTCTTATTAAGTTCTTTCCATAGCCCCCCAAAAATTTAGAAAATCCTATACTATTTCCTGAGTTATTTTTTTTTCTAGATTAGACTGACTGGATTTTTGTTTATTTATTTCTGTTTCTCTGTGTGTGTGTGTGTCTCTCATATGCTGTATGGTAGTATGCACGTATATAGTATGTAGTACACTGTAGTATGCTTGTGTAATGGCTATACCATTTCCATCTTTTCCAATTCACATGAGTAACTCCCCCCAGACTTCTCTTTAATATTGTGTAGTGTTAAGTTTATGTTTTTCTTGCTGAGCTAGATCTTAGGTCTGTTTTTGGTTTACAAATAATTTCTTTTTTTGATTGAGAGGTGTCAAGGTTAGAGATCAAGATTCCTTGGCTGGGAATTGTTCATTTTCTTTCTGAGGGTGTTCTGAGCTTTGCTTTGCTGGACTTGTGCACACACACATGAACACACACACACATACACATGCCCACAAAAGTTTATATCAGGACCCCTGGACCCAGCCAGAAGGTATGTAGCTGGTGGCTGTGAGATTGGAATATTTGTCCAATTCCACACAGAAACTCTGCTTCCAGGTAGGCTCCACAGTGTTATCTAGAGGTTTCTTTCTGGAGAGGTTTTTCTACTTTCTAGAGGGATGACTATTTCATGCTTAGTCTTGCACCCAAAAGAAGTCATTCCAGACTGGAGAATGTAAGTTAGATTACCATGATTTTGTCAATTCACTTTCTTTTCTTGTTGTTGTTGATATTTTGGGGGACAAGCTATGTTTAGAAAACATGCCATATACTACTGGAAATGTGTGTTGTTATCTTTTGGCACCACTTTTCAAAGTTGAAGGCATAAAGTTGTTTTTTTATTATATGGTTATTTTTATGTGTGATTTTATTCAGTCTCAAGGCTTTAAATATCTAATTTATACCAGAGAGTCCAAAATTTATATCTGTAGCACAGTCTTAACCACTGAACTTCATAATGCTTACTTGATATCTCATAGACATCTTAAATGTCATATGTTCAAATGACCTCCTACTAGTCCCAGCAAAACATCTCCTCTTGTAGGGTGCCCCACCACAGTTAATGGCAATTCCATTCTTCCAGTTGCTCAAGACAAAAATCTTGGTGTCAAGGAATTTTTCTCTGTTTCTCCCATTCTACATCCTACTCATCAACAAATCCTGTTGGTATAATTTCAAAAATTAATCAGAATCTAATCACTTCTCAGTATCTAACTATCACCAAACTGTCCCAAACCACCATCATCGTGATAGACTGTTGCAGGACCCTCTTAACTGATGCCCCTGTTTCTGTATCTTTCCCTCTGCAATCTTTTTGAAGAGCAACTTTCAGGGTTAGCCTGATACAATATCAGTCATGTCACCCCTCTGCTCACCCTTTTCACTGACTTGCCACATGACTCAGAGTAAAGGCCAGCATCCTTACAATGGCCTGCAAGGCCCTATGTGACTTGGGCCCTTTCACCTCCCTGACCTCACTGTTCACCACTTTCCTGGGGTTTGGAATGTTCCAGCTGTACTCACCTCCTTGATGTTCCTTTGATACTCTAGGTATGCTCCCAGCTCAGGGATGACAGTGTACTCACTATTTTTAGTCCCTAGAATGTATTTCCTCCAACTATCTACATGGTTCTTCTCTTCACTTTCTTCAGATCTTTATTCAAATGTACCTTCAATGGCTACTCTATGTAATACATCAGAATCCCACCCCAACACTTAAAATCCTTTTTTCCTACATTATATTGACTCTTCAGCAATTTGATAACATGTCATACATTTTACTTGTTTTGCTGTTCCTTCTTTCCTCACTGGAACGTAGGTTCCATCAAAGCAGGCATTTTTGCCTATTTTATTCACTTTTACATTCCCCAAATCTAAAACAGTACTTGGAACAAAGTAAATACTGAATGTTTGTTAGTGAATAATGGGGTTTTGGAATTAATCTGATGCAACATATGGGATTCATTATTGTGACTTAAAACAATATAGTTATCATGACAATATAATCACAAAATATAGGTATTCCACTTTCTGTAATAGCAGAGACATACTTATAGCTGAGGACAAGAAGTACAAAAAAGATAATGTTAATATCAATACCAGCTCGAAGTTACCAGAGAGTTGATAAACAGGTAAGAGAATTACTAAGCCAACATCAGGAAAAAGAGAGAAAACTAGAGAAGTGAGCACACTTCAAGATATAGTTTTCCTTGGGGGTTATTTTTCCACTTTGGGAAGAGGCTACTGAGGTGCTGAGCATTTAAAAGTCCTGAAAAGCCCTTGAAGGGAATGCAGCTTAACTCTGTATCATTTCAGTCAATGGCATTGGATTAAGGATGTCCCAGATTACTAGAAATTTCTAAGAAATAACTTTCAATCGTTTCCAGAGGAAAACACTATTTTTCTAGAAATTGAATTATTTCTACAAATAATATTTTTCAAATTAAATGTCCAACAAACTATAAAAAACATCCCCCCAGACATATGAGAATCCAAAATAATATGAAGTAGAATAACATAGGAACAACAGAAAAATAGAAACAGATCCACTGGGGCTCCAGATCTTGAAATTATAAGACCCAAATTTTAAAATTAGTACACTTAATATACTCAAAGAAATAAAAGATAATATTGAGAAATTTGGCAGAAAATTAGAAAATATTAAAAAGTATTGAGCAAATATGAAAGCAGAATCAAATGAAAATTTATAGAATTTCAAAATATAGTATCTAAATTTGTAAAATCATTGGGCTGGATTAACAGCAGATTAGACACAGTGTTTTAATTCTTTCCTCCTATCCCCTGTATCTTGCTGTCATCCATTTTGTTTATGCACAAGCATAAATATAAATATGTATAATCAAATATATTGTTGCTGTTATTTTGAATGAATTGCTATCTGTTTGACTAAGAAAACAAACGTTTAAATTTTATCTTAATTTATTATTCTCCAACTTTATGTAGATTCAACTTTCTAATCATCATTTTTCCTCTCTCTAAAGAATTTCTTTTAACATTTTGTATTAGTTCCTTCTCACACTTCTATAAAGAAATCCCTGAGACTGGGTAATTTGTAAAGAAAAGAGGTTTAATTGACTCACAGTTCCGCATGGCTGGGGAGGCCTCAAGAAACTTACTATCGTGGTGGAAGGGGAAGCAGGCACCTTCTTCACAAGGTGGCAGGAGAGAGTGTGAGCGTGTGAAGGAGGAACTTTCAAACACATAAAACCATCAAATCTAGTGAGAACTCACTTACTATCACCAGAACAGCATGGAGGAAACCACCCCCATGATCCAATCACCTCCCACCAGGTCTCTCCCTTGACATGTGGGATTATAAGGATTACAATTCAAGATGAGATTTGGGTGGGGACACAGCCAAACCACATCACATTTGTTGCAAGGCAAGTCTCCTGGCAATGCATTTCTTCAGGTTTTGTTTATCTAAGAAAGTCTTTATTTCTCTCTTTATTTGAAGAATAATTTCACAGAGTACGGAATTCTAGCTTGGTGGGGTTTTCCTTTCAACAGTTTAAATAGTTCAGTCCAGTCCATGAGGACTCCAGAATTATGACCTAATTACTTCTCGAAGTCCTCTCCTCTTAGTACCATGCCATTGGGCATTATGTTTCCACATATGAATTTTGGAGGGACACAAACATTCAGCCTACAGTACAATCTTTTTAACCTCTGGCACTTAGTTTTTTTTTCTTTCTTTTTCTTTTTCTTTCTCTCTCTTTTTTTTTTTTTGAGACAAAGTCTTGCTCTGTGCCCAGGCTGGAGTGCAGTGGCAGAATCTTGGCTTACTGCAACCTCTGCCTCCCGGGTTCAAGCGATTCTCCTCCTGCCTCACCCTCCCAAGTAGCTAGGATTACAGGCACCCACCACCACACCCAGCTAATTTTTGTGTTTTAGTAGAGGCGGGGTTTCACCATGTTGGCCAGGCTGGTCTCGTACTCCTGACCTCAAGTGACCTGCCTGTCTCAGCCTCCCAAAGTGCTAGGATTACAGGAATGAGTCACCGTGCCTGGGCTATATTTGTTATTTTCTTAGAATTTCGATTTCACTGCTTACATGGCCTATCTGTTCTTGTATGCTGTCTACTTTATCTGTTAGATCCTTAAGCATCTTAGTTCATTCTCAATTTAAATTTCTGTGTGATAATTTCAACATCTCTGTCATCTCTAAGTCTGGTTCTGATGCTTGTTCTGTTATTTCATACTATGATTTTTTTTGCCTTTTAGTATGTCTTATAATTTTTTCTTGATAGCCAGACATGATGTACTGCGTAAAAGGAAATGGTATGAATAGGCCTTTAGTAATGTGGTTGTAGGGAGTGTGCGAGGGAGAGGGGGAGTATTCTATAGTTCTATAATTAGGCCTTAGCCTTTTGGTGAGCTTATACCCCTGGACTGTGAATTTCACAAGCATTTTTCAATTTTCCTCCACCTTTAGATGAGGCAAGATGGCTAGAGTGAGCTGGAGTTGGGTGTTTTCTTTCCCCCAAGTCAGTTAGGCTCTGATAACACCCCAGCAGATTATGTTCTATGTCAGTGCTTAAGCAGTTTCTCCTGGGACAGACTTATTCAGAAGAACAGAATGCACTGGTGTATTGCAAAATTGTTTCTTTTCCCCTCCCGCTGCCAGGAGCATGATGGGATTTTCCCCCAATATTTACTATGGGAACCTGGTCCAGTTTCTGGAGGTAAAACTCACAGAAATTTGGGGGCTTTCAATGACTTAGTAGGTCTGGAGTTTCATCTCTCAGATTTGTCCATACTGAGCCTCCAGCAATTCATCAATTACAGGCAACTTTCCCTACTTGAGCACTGGCTCCCAAGGAAGTTCTTGCTCATGGGGTTCAGCTCTGGCAAGCTGTGATTTTTGGCATTTGCCTGTGGGTCTCTGCAGTTTTTGGAAAGTCATCTGCTCTGTGACTACACCTCTCTGATAGATACAAGAATTATTGATTTTGCAGTTTGTTCAGCTCTTTCTTGTTGTTAGGATAGAGTGGCGAATTTCAGCTTCTTACATTCCTAAACAGAAACTGGAGGTCAGTATATACTTTTAATCATAAGATTTTAAAGCAAGGAAATATACCTTTCTTTAGAACTTCATTATTTGTATATCTGTATTATTATACCAATTCAATACATTGGTATATTATTATACCAATACCGATTCAACCTCTAAACTAACCCCTTTTCTCAGTAACCTTTTAAAATTATATTTGTGCTCCTCATTATCTATTTTCTCCTCGAATTGTAACTCACCAATGGGAGGGACACTATCTGATCTTTCCTGTGTACCCTGAGGACCTAGGTATTACAGGTTCTGAGCTTTTTCTTTACTGAATCTGGCATATTCCTGGAGGTCCGGGATTTGGAAGGACAAGGACATTATCATGCCCACACAAATTCTGTACAAAAGTAAGCTATTTCAGATGAGAATCTTGTCTGGATTTGGGTTGTAGACAGAGGAGTGCTAAATTTAAGAAACTTTCTGGGAGTTGGAAAGCTATGGTGGTTTGAAAATATGTGGTAGCTTTTCAGGATCTATAAGCTATATGAACAGTGTAATTTTGGTAGCATAAAGTAAACTCAAAGCTTCTTCCCTCCATTACTAAGGTCAATCCTGACCAATGGTTTGAGGACTTGCATTTGTGTAGGCAACTTTTCACTTTCCTCTCTCTCTCTTTCCCTTTTTGGTCACCTAGAATTAAAGAGGGAGAGAGGACACTAGTAGGAAAAGGGTAAATGCCCCTAATGTGATTGGTCTTGTAGTGAACTGGATATTGGTGGCTCTGTATAGATATATTATATAGCGATCTTACTTGGTATTAAGTTTATTTGATTTGATACAAGAGAAAAATTTTTTAAGTTTACCAATTAAATTTGTAAAGAGACTTTGGCAAATTTAAAACTCTTTTGGAAGAACAATATGAATTTTAGGTTTTGACTTACAGTCAAAGATAATGCTTTCACAAGACCCAGAAAATAAGGTTGCAGAAACTGCCTTCCCGCATTTGATGCAATTAAAGGTTTCTGGCATAAAGTGTTTAACATTTGAGCCTCTAGGCAAATGGCCAGGACTAAGCAAAATCAATGGCCATGGACATGATCCCATTTTATTGCTTAAAGAGCCAGCCTGTGCAGTGTGGTTAGATTCATTTTAGGGAGTCCTGGAAGGCTCCAAATGAAAATTGTTTTTATCCCTAGACTTTTGCCACAATGTCTTTTAATTGTGCCCTCTCCTATTGTGCTGGTATCAACTCCTGCCCAGTGTCACAACCTTGCCCACATGGGTCAGCTCTTGGCGGGGCACTTCCTGCACTTCTCAACTGGACAGTACTCGCCTGCTCAGGGTGTCCTCTTCCAGCTCAGGTCCCTGACTGAGCTGGCACTCCTTCTACCACTTTACCAGTCAAATAAGAAACTGTCATTAGAAACAGGACAAGACTTATTACACAAGTCCCTTCTATCTCTACAGAATCCCAAGGGGAGTGCTCCTTAATAGCAGGTGGGAAATTAATGCTACTATATTTAATAAATGATTGTGACATATACAAGAGCCCAAGAGGAACCAGGAGGTTGCCAGTGCAGACAAGGAAATAGATGTATTTGTACCTATAAAAAATTTTATGTGCTATCTATGGAAGAATATATGCAATTTGGGGCAGCAATATTAAACAATTTCAGAAATTACATAAATTTTAGAATATTATAGGAAGAAATATAGAAATTCAATAAATTAAATCAGACAGAATATTTTCTAGGCATAGATAAGACATAGTAACATCAAGCATAATTTCTATTTATTTATTTATTTACTTATTTATTTATTTGAGATGGGGTCTTGCTCAGTCACCTAGGCTGGAATGCAGTGGTACAATCTCAGCTCACTGCAACCTTCACCTCCTGGGCTCAAGCTACCCTCCCACTTCAGCTTCTGGAGTAGCTGGGACCACAGGCCTGCGCCACCATGCCTGGTTAATTTTTTTTTTTTTTTGTATTTTTGTAGAGACAGGGTTTCACCATGTTGCCCAGGCTGGTCTTGAACCCCTGAGCTCAAGAGATTTGCCTGTCTTGGCCTCCCAAAATGCCGGGATTACAGGCGTGAGCCAGCATGTCGGGCCTAACTTCTATTTTTTAAAAAACAGTTTATTCATCAAAGAAGCCAAGGTGAGCTCATTTGTATTTCTTGATGATTTCTTTTCTTTTCTTTCATCTGGTAAACATTTATACTCATGAGAGAATAAAGAGGAACAATTATTTAAGTGTTAACAGTAGAATAAATACAGAGAAACCTTTAAATAAGACCTGTTTTGGAACTGACAATCTATGTGCTTTAGGCATCTGTTAAAAATTATCTGTGAGGATTAGACTTTGAGCTAGGAAGTCAAGGTTGCTTGATTCTTAAACAATAGAAAATCACACTGGAAGAACAAACTGCTATTTATGCCAGAGCCATGAAGCCCTCCAATGTTTGGATTAAATGGAAACACATAATAAATTAGGAAGAAAATGAAACTCATCCCAAAGTAATTGAATTTATTGCTTCGCAGTACTTGAGAACACAGTGCATCTTACGTTCAAATCAGTTTCCCAAGGTGATCAATAAGACACACAGGAATTTAAAAAATAAAAACAATAATGTCTGGAACTATAGGATTAACCATTTTATAATGGAAAGAAAAGAGGGCATAGTTTTAAGCCCCCTTCCGACGCTGGCCTGCTGTGTTAGGATGGGCACATATCACAGATCTACAGTCATTCCTGAGCCCTCCTTTGCCCTCATGTACTACAGTCCATTGCTCAGCAGGCCCTGCTAATGTCACTCATTTAACATCTCAAGTCTATTTACTCCTCCCCACCCCTCTGTCTTTATCTTGTCCCTTTCTCCACATCTACTCTCCACATAGCAGTGGAAATTCCAAATTGTAAATTTGTTTTATTTAATGGTTTAAAACTTTTCAGTGAATCCCTCTTACTCTCTGAATCACATTCAGATGTCTTAGCCTGCCCTTCGTGGCCTGCCCCACCCACTGGAGATTTGGCTTTCCCAATCTCACGTCCAGCCACACCCCGCTTTCTGTCCAGCAGCTCTGCCCACTGTTGCTGTGCACCTTTGCACAAGCCCCAGATATCCTTGGCTCTTCCCTTCCCTTTCCCCTGTGCGCTCTGTCACCTGAAACTCATCCTTCCACACTTGGCGTGGATATCGTTCTCTCTAGGGAGGCTTGGCTGCAGCCCCTTCCCTCCCCAGCCCAGGTAGACCCTCTTCCCCTGTGCTCCCCTGATGATCTGTGGGTTGCTCTCCCTGGGACAGCACAGCACATGCTTCTTCTTCCAAAGGGAACACTCTTTGAGGGAAGGAACTGTGTCTTGCTGACTGTCCCGATCTGTATTGTCCAGCACAGTGTGGCACATGGGGCATCCATAAATATTCACTGAATGAATTAATATATAGTTGCGATTTTATAATAATAGCATGAGGTCCCCATGCCCAAGAAAGAGTATGGGAAACACGAGACCACATTAAAATACCATGGCAAGTAAGCTCCAGAGAAGTTATATTGAAAGAGAGTCAGGGTTTAAGATCGTCTCACAGGCCCGTTCCGTGGGACTTGAAGTTTTTGAGAGTTTCCCTGAAGGGTAAATGCAAACCTCTGCTTGAGTTTTTATTAAGAATGTCTGGGCCGGGCGCAGTGGCTCACGCCTGTAATCCCAGCACTTTGGGAGGCCTAGGCGGGCAGATCAGGAGGTCAGAATATCGAGAACATCCTGGCTAACATTGTGAAACCCCATCTCTACTAAAAATACAAAAAATTAGCCAGGCACGGTGGCGGGCGCCTGTAGTCCCATCTACTCGGGAGGCTGAGGCAGGAGAATGGCGCGAATCCGGGAGGCGGAGCTTGCAGCGAGCCCATGTCGCGCCACTGCACTCCAGCCTGGGCGACAGAGTGAGACTCTGTCGCAAAAAAAAAAAAAAAAAAAAAAAAAAAAGTCTGATATTTTGGGCTGGGCGTGGTGGCTCATGCCTGTAATCCCAGGACTACGGGAGGCTGAGGAAGGTGGATCACTTGAGGTCAGGAATTCGAGACCAGCCTGGCCAACATAGCAAAACCCCGTCTCTATTAAAATTACAAAAATCAGCCCTGCGTGGTGGCGCACACCTGTAGTCCCAGCTATGTGGGAGGCTGAGGCATGAGAATCGTTTGAGCCCGGGAGGTGGAGGTTGCAGCGAGCCAAGATCAGGCCACTGCAGTTCAGCCTGGGTGACAGAGTGAGATTCTGTCTCAAAAAAAAGAAAAAAAAAGTCTGATATGTTTTCAATTATTAAAAAAATTAATGAAAGTATGAAAACATTTCTGAAAGTTTTGGAAACAGACAAAATGAAAAAAAGCTTCTGAGGACTACACAAACGACTACTTGTGTACTTGTATATCCTCTGCCATATTTTTTCCTCAGCAAAATTTTAAAGTAATACAACCATTCAATATAAACTTTCAGATGTAACCTCTATATGTCTAGAAATTTATATTTACATATGTGCGAGTATGTACATAAATACTAACAAAAATACAGACATGCCCATGCTATGTATTACTCCACTAACTGGGGAACTGAGCACGTGGAAAGGAAAGCCACAGTGTCAGACATCCATTCTTGCTTCCGTGGGTCCCGGTGGAGGTGGTGTGTTCCTGGAACTGATGGATGTAGCATGGCTTCTGGTTTGTACATCTTCTTTATCACTGTGGGGGCAGCAGTGGCCTTGGCAGTCGGACCCTCCTGAGTGGTTTTTTTTGGTGTCCCTTAGAGCGTTTTTTATTATCCCCAACAATGATTCAGTAAACTGTTTATTCTGCTGTAATTTCTCATTCTTATTAAACTAGCTAGGTGGTTTTCTATTTTCTGCTGTTGAACTTAGACTTACACCTTCCTTTTCTTGCCAACCTCTCTAATGTCTGAGTGATTTTCTGAAGGCCACCATCACTTTATTTTGGAACATGGGGAGAAAGAATGCTCTTCTCTGATGGAGGCTCAAGGAACAAGCCACATTGCATCCCTGTAGGCTTACAATCTACTGAATGATTCTCTTTTCTCATCCTCTTCTCTTGTCTTTGGAGACAATGAGGATAATGTTTGGGCATAGCAGAACCAGTGGAGATACCACTTAATAACTCTGGAAGGAGTGTCTGTCGTCAACTATTTTGTCACTTTCTATCATGAGATGTATTTTACATCTTTAAGTCCTCAGCTTTGGGTCCCAGTTGCCAACAGTAAGGCAAAGAAGTTCCATGCAACATCTGTTTTAAGGGGTATTGGAGACTTACTAGTCCGAAAGTATCTTGGCACTTGGCTTCCTTATTTTTTTTTTTCAGTAGAAATAAAGTGAAGTGAGCTGATCATAGAATGTACAACACTAGGTGAGTGTTTGCAGGTGGAGAATGAGGGGGTCATGACAAAAAATACTTTGCAGGTCACTGCTTTGAATAATAGGTGGTGTGATTTCCTGAGATAGGGAACACGGGAGGGATGACAGTGAGGCAAGGTCACAAGTATCCTTTTGGACAAACCTGAGGTGCCTGTGAGCAGTGTCAATGGAAATGGCAGTAGGGCAGGAGGTAAGAAGAGAGGCTGGGCTAAAGAGAGGACACTGGAAGTTGTCAATATTTAAAACTGGGCAGATGAGACTGTCTAGGAAGAAGAAAAGAAGGAAGTGAAGGGAGAAAGTAATTGCTCTTGTTATTGTTTTTGTTTTAAATAGAACAAATTTATGATGTTAGAATGTTCATAGGAAGAAATGGGTAGTGAGGGAGCAGTTGAAGATATGGTGGCTGGAGTGAGATCTTTAAGATGGAAGAAGAAATACAATTTAGCAGATGTGAAGAACTGGCCTATAGTTGGCTAAGGGACACCTTTTTTTTTCCTATTATATGAGAAAAGGAAGGTTGAAGGAGTTCCCATCTGGTAGCTGCAGTTCTATAAGAACTCAGGAGCTCAATGTCAGTTTGGCACCTCAGAATTCTGTGTCCTTTTCCTGAAGTTATGAAATAACATGGTTCATGTTTATATGGTTTTTGAGCAGAAATTTTTATCAATAGCTCTTTCTATATTATCTTTTAGAAGTCTGTATTTCCTGGGGATGGAGATACTAATCTAAATCCTTATACATGCCAGGACCCTCAGTGAATCAAATAAAAAAAACTTCAAAGGTCGAAAAGCTTCATACTACATAACACATTGAAGCTAAACTGAAGGAGACAAAATGATACACTTCATAGTAATTACTAGCAGATTTTATTTTAAACAGAGCTAATTCTCACTGAAGGAAAATATAACCTTTTATACCTTCTTACTAACTTGTTTTTCAAATGCCACCCACTGGCATTTGAATGCTGACATTATTTAGGCAGAAAACTAATGAACTTTTTAAAATTGTAGAGCCCATGCTTAAGGCTGAGATAGAAAAGCTACTATGAAGTTGCTGGAAAACCACAGCAAAAAGATTGGAACATTGACCACAGGGGAGGTGAGTCATCTGCAGGGAAACATTTTCCTCAGGGATGCAGGGCCCTGATGTACACAGGCAAGGCTGGTGCTGTGCTTGCCGAGTCACTGCCAAAGTCCCCAGCACTTTTACCACCAAGGAGTGGAACTGTCTTTCACTAAGGATGGGTTTGCTGTATTCGGGCCACTTAACATGAGCATTAAAAGGATTAATCAACTACTATTAACAACAAAGAGAAGGGGAGGAATGGGGGAAGATTCCTTCACACTTGAGTCCCAGTTTCCAAAGCACATTCCCTCTATAAGGAGTCTTACTCATTTTCTTATTCAGTTCACAACCACATCACTCATTTCCGCAGGGCCCTGTCCAATAGGCCTGATCAAAGGCGGAGGCATCGTGCAGTCCTGGAGATCTAATCCTGATGAGTTTATGATGCTTTTGGGAAAAGAAGACTTAGATAAATGAAACAACTAAAGAAAAGTTTAAGGCCACAGCTAAGTATTAAATTGTGAGGAGTTGAACTGACTAAATGCTATAAAGGTTCAGCAGAATGATTAATTAGGGTAGCTTTGGACATGAAGGAAGATTTTGTGGAAGGAATGAGTCTTGAAGAAAGGTGTAGATCTGAGATGTTTAGAAAGGAGGAGGGCAGAATTTCAAGCAGGAGGAATATTGTGACTCAGGGTTCTCAGGAGCAGGTGCTTAGGAAGCCCCTCCCTGGTGATCAGCCCACCTCTGGGGACCCGGTAAGCAGGAAGTGGCGAAAGGGAAGGAGCCTGTAAAAGGATCTGGGGAAACACAGTGTTGTAGGAACCCAGCCCAGGCAAACCCAATCTCTGGTTTTCTCCTGCCCCTTCTGATTGATTAATTCAGCAATTAACAAGTCTATAGTGCTTATTGACTTATTGTTTATTCATTCCCTTTAGTAACAAAAAATAGAAGGGATTCTAGAATATCATCTGGCTCCATTGCCTGTGCTTCAACGCAGGTTGTTGATCAGGACCTCTCTCTGAAAGAAAGTGATATAGGAAAAGAAGAGAGGAAAACAGGCATAACAAGAAACTGGAAGACTAGACTCCTGTGACCATATGGGTAACCTCCCACGGCCAGGATTGACTGTTGGGAATTGAGGATCACGTCGGGCTGTGTGAATCTCTGGGTTTGTTAGTTCTTAGTTCAAACGGGAGAATTATGTCCAGGCGTCTTGACAAGTCATGCTGTTTTGGAGCACTGTAGTTCTGAGTATTGGATTAGTCTATGGGGAGTGAGAAAGTGTTTTTGATAGTACTGCAGACATTTTGCCAAAATTTACTAATTTTTCAGGGACACTGTGTTGCAGTGAACCTACCACTACAAATTGACCAGCTATGTCTGTTGGCATGATTTACTCTCCCAGCTAAGCAAAAGTCAACCTATTTTCTTACATTTTTAAAAAATTTATCTCACCATTCCACTTGAATACTTCTTTCACCATAATTTCTTTATATTCTTACTTTTTTGCAATATTATATGTATTTCTGTAAATCACTTCAAATCTTCTTTTCTTTTTTGGAAGGAAGGAAAATATAAATATGTAAACAAAACATTTTTAATCCCTTCTTTAGTTAAAATAAGGAATTCTGAGGAAAAAAATAATAAAAACATCTAAAATAGTCACCTGCTAAGAGGTGAGGTAGGATTAAACTAATCCCTGCAATCTATTTCTTGATTCTCAAGACAAATAATTTGCATTTCTTTGATGCATTCTAATATCTGACAGTGCTCATTGTCAAGAATCTACGTTTTGCTTAAATTCCTAGATCACATTTTAATAGGAGTAAGTTCTTTTTGACTTTGTCTCCAGGGTGTTTTTCCTCCTTGTTTCCAGCTGTAGGTCTCCCAGTTTGAAAGTCATGTACAGGAGACGCTCCTACTTCATCTGGTAAGTCCCTTAGGCCTGGAGTGGTAGGGACTCCTATCCAGTGAGGTTATTTGGAGTGTGTAGACTTAAACCTGAGGACCATTACGTCTGCTCACTGAGCAACTTGCCAGGCAGGATCCTGAGGTTTGCAAGATGGCTGGTTCCAGGCTCCTAGGGTTCAGGCAAGTTGTCTCCAGATTTCCACAGGGCCAGAGTCAGTTCTGGGGGCATCTGGACTTTTGCAGGGTGCCCCTTTGAGGGCCATGTATTCCAGCACCAGGGTCTCCTATGAGGTCCCTCAGGGACAGGATCAGATATCCTCCCTTCTTCTCATCTTTCCCTCCAATTCTCTTTCTGGGTTTCCACTCCATTGCTCTTTAGACTTTGATCCTCCATTGTACAAGGCACACAAAACGTGTTAACCCTTTTGCTATGGTAAAGCAGAACCAGTTCTTAGAAACAAAGAACTAATATCTTAGAAACTCTCCAGGAGAGGAAATGAGAAGCACTGATCACATCTTGGTGAGACACTCTTTCCCTAGGAAGGAGAGCATAATTTAGTTGAGGAAACAAAACAACAGACACCCACCCCAAGTAATGCTTTTATGAAGTTCTGACTACCAAGGAAGAGGAGCAGAATTGAATGGCATTCTGATTTTGTTATAAGAGCACATCATAAGTTTAGAGATGATTGATTATTAAAAATCATACCATAGCATCCTCCTTTTCTCTAGGCACACTGAGCACGGTTTGTTTGTTTTTCTGCCTTTAAAAAATTAGATATTTCCCAAAGTTGTTCATCTTGATTTTTAAAATTCAATTTCCTTCCCCAAATCCTCATATCTGTCTTTAAAATTAGGTCCAATACTTGGTGCTCCATGAAAGCTCTGTTTGATGCTGAGGGACAAAGCAAGGTCATGTCAGGGTTTTAAATGCCATTTAGGTAACCACTTACTTGTTGCAGAATTTAGTTTCATAATTTTTATAGCTGTACTGCTTTGATAAGTCATGCTCAGCCCTGCCTATGACATCTAGAGAGTCAACCCTTCTTCAAGGCACCAGCATCTCAGATTGCTTCATTCTATTCCTATATAAGTATTTCCTGGGGCTATAATTGCCTGAGCATATGGTGAGAGTATAATGTGATGAAATAATACATCACAAGCTGATCCTAATCACCTATCCTTAATCCATTACTTCCAGATCACTGGGGCGTGATTTCTAAGGCATTTTTTCAAGCTTGCTCAGTTTCTGAGTTCTTTAGATATCATACAATTGCTTTCAGTAAATCTGCATTTCTAGCACCAATACAGCCATCAGGACTGTCACGTTGTGGACTTCTTTGCCTTTTCTGGGTCACAAGGGCTGTTGTCCTTTGGGCAAGAAGCTTCTGCCCAAATGGCTGAATGCTGAGATTGAGAAAGTGCAGCAGCTCCCACCTTAGGGAAACCACATCCCAGGGTTCTTCACGCCTGTGCTGCTGCCGTGGGTCAGTTTGATGGTTTTTAAACTTCTACCCTGGCACTCCACCTGTTTTAGTTAATGTATATATTTGGCTGTAAGTTCCATGAACCCTTCCTTAAAGATGGCTTAGCCTCGGGAGGCTGAGGCAGAGAATTGCTTCAACCCAGGAGGTGGAGGTTGCAGTGAGCCGAGATCGCGCCACTGCACTCCAGCCTGTGTGACAGAGCAAGACTCTGTCTCAAAAAACAAAACAAAACAAAACAAAACCAAAAAAAAAAAAAGATGGCTTAGCCAAATCCAAATCCAGGTTTGTTTGCCCCCTAACAAGGCTGAGGGTGGGTGGTTGGTTGTTAGCGTTGGTTCAGCTGTAGCCAGCACTGCCAGGTTCTTAGTTCTGCCCTTCTTAGTTCTGCTGCCTTTCAGTCTCACAGTTTTTGTCTCATAGTTCCCAAGTGGAATCTGCAGTACCAGATGTAATGTCAATGAGCTACGTTCACAGGCAGGAGAGCCGAAGGTCAGCAGTACCTTCACCCTTTCCTAGAAATCTGAAGCTGTACTTTGTCAGCCACGTCTTTGGCCACACCCACTTGCAAGGGAGGCTGGGAAAGAGATGGCTGTTTGAGCACCCAACCAGCAGTGCTGCAAATCAAACAAAAGGAGGCATTCTAAGGTCTTTATTTGAGGCAATCCCTATACTGAAGCTGATGCTGACTTGGAGAGTCCCACAAATTATGAGACAGTGTTGGTCTCCACTACTGAAGATGAAAATGCCGGATACCCACCTCATTTGCAGCTATGGCATGGGAATCTCTGAGAGAGAGAGAAAGAGAGAGAGAGAGAGAGAGAGAGAGAGAGAGAGAGAGAGAGAGAGAAGTTGAACTTGTATCCAGCTGCACTGGAAGCCAGCCTTACTCCCTACCCCTCACCCCATTTTTTTTCTTTAAGACAATCTAGGTTGAGTTTTCTGACACTTGTAACCAAATACATCTTAATTAATACATATATACAATACTTTTTTTTCTTTTTCTGGTGTAAAATAATAAAATTATTTCCCCTAGTATTCTTTTTGTTGCTAACCATTTTATTATTTTGCGAGACCAGCTAAAACTTCAAATCCCTTAGTCTTCTTTCTTTTCATGTGCCCCGCCACCAAAAAATCTATAGTGTCTGTGTTGCCTTGATGACCTTTAGTTCATAAGATAAATCATGAACAAACATAAAATTACACCTACAATAAAGTTACCCGAAGCTTCTCTCTCTTCCCATTCCCATATTTCACACCACATACTTTTGTACATTGACCTTGTTTCAGAGACTATTTAGGGGACATGGTAGCCAGCCTCCAAAATGGCCTCCAGTGATCTCAACTACTGATAGTCATCCCCTTGTGAACTGCTTTCTCACATTGAACCAGGTTGGTCTGGTACTGCATTCATGGATGACATGTCGTTTCCAAGGTCAGGATATTCAAACCTGAAATTTTTATCTTGGTCTCATCCTCCTTCCCTCTCTCTTCCTCTGGGGAAATCCGGGTACCCTGCTATAAGCAGCCCTATGAAGAGACCCATGTGCTGCGAAGCTGGGGTCTCAGCCAACAGCCGTGTGAGTGAGCTTAGAAGTGGAACTGCCAGCCCCAGTCAAACCTCAGATAATGCAACCCCAGATGTCACTTGGATCGTGGCCTTCTGAAAGACCCTGAGTCGGAACCATCAGCTGATCTCATATTCTTGACTGGCAGAAACTGTGAAAAAAAAAATAAATGTTTGTTGTTCTCAGCTGCTAAGTTTGTTACATAGCAATAGATGCGTATCTGTTACATAGCAACGGAGAACTAATATGGGTGGCTTAACCTAATTGACGATAGAAGATTAAAAAATTAAATAACTGCATGAAGAAAATGAGACAAAAGAAAATAAGAATAAGGAAGAGATGATGAAGCCAGGAGTTGGGTTTGAACACAAAATACATGCAGCAAGGTCCTGTGACTTTGCTAGAGGTGATCCACTGGTTTGTCCTAATGATTTTGGCAGTTGGTGCTAAAAGAGAAAAACACAATTAGTACAAACCAGAAAGATATTTCTCCAATGGATCTTTGTGAAAAGAACATCGTGTAATGCCATGAACAAATGTTTCAAAAACATTTTTGTCCTGTAGAAATAAAAATTATTTGTTCATATTTTATAGCTGGAGCCTCTAATAATCATATGATTTGTAGGAAATAAAATGTTTCCCTTCAAAATGAGATAGCCTCAATTTTAGACCTAACATAGATGGGTCCAGGTAAGCAGAGCTCCCCAGTATAAAGAATTGTTCAAAGTTAGAGCTCAAAATTCAGTGTCCTTTACTACAGGCACTTTTTTAAAATTGAATTTTTAATTGATTGTTTAATGCGAGAATGCATTTGTAAGACCCAGTCAGAAGTATGACCTATGAATGTGGAACACTTGGATGCAATTTAGAAAGCTCTGGAAAATAAGTCTCCTATGTTATTGAGCCAAAGGTTTATATTCAAAAATCTGCCTTCATTTACTTACAAGACAGCTAACTAATCATTTCACATATGGGTTTCCTAGAGATGAGCTTAGTTGAGGATAATATACATTGGCATGTATAATTAAATATGTAACATTTTTGGCACTGTAATAATAAGAATGAACATAGTACACCACGTCCAACAACACAGATCAATTCAGTGCTGGCCAGGAGCCTGCTTGTATTAGCTCTCTTCCCAACTCTGAGACTGGTGATTTCATGCTGCTAACTTGAAATCAGCCAGTTGTCAAAACTTTACCAGCTCACCCCTGGGCGAATTTCTCAAATAGAATGTTGAGTGAATGAAGCAAAAGAGTACATGCCGTATGATTCTATTTATATATAAACTATAAAAATAGGCCAAATCTGTGAATGTAGAGGTCAGGATAAAAGGTTACTTGTGGAAGGAGGGTGGTGAACAAAAGGGTATGAGGCAGGCTTCTAGGATGTTGGTGGATGCTGTTTTTTGACTTGAGTGCTGGCATCGTGGACACGTTCATTTTTTGAAAATTCACGAACATGAACTCTTCTGAGTTGTACATGTTTTTGTATGTCTCTCATCTTTCAATTAGTTAAAAATAACAAAAAAGTAAGCAAGCTGTTAATTTAAAAAATAAGTCAACAAGATAAAATATTATAAAACAAAAATAAAGGAGAAAGAAGTATAATAGAAGTATAATAGAAGACACTGAAATATACCAAACGGAACACTGCAGGAATTGGCTGTCCTGTTATTTAACAGGAGTGAAGATTTCTCTTAAAATTTCCCTTCAGACAATCCTTCATCTCTTTCTCTAAACTTCTTATGATCTTGCCTTAATGGGGAGCATGAAATTAATAAAGAATAGGTTAGACTATATTATATATAAAAATCTCCATAAATATTACTTCTTGCCACCAAGCTGGTGATAAATATTGGGTGACTGTGAGTGTAAAGCTATACTTTTGCTGACAAATACCTGGAGTGCTGCTGTTTATGTTAAAAAACCATATGATTTTATAGCCAGACACACTGGAAATCAAATTGACATCTAATTAGCATGCTAAGGAGCATGCCAAAACTCTTAAAATATAATCTTAATAGGAAAAGTGCCCCTAAGTGCTGTGCTAATATAGTTTAGTTCATACATTCCCTATTTGAGAGTTCCAATATTTTTGCTCTGTTGCTTGACTGATTTAAAGTATACCCGAAGAATCTGCAAAATGAAAACAATCCTTTATTAGACAAAATTTAATTTCTTTTGGACTCAATATCCATAAAGTGGAGATAATAATGATAGCTAGGGAAAATTATCAGCTTGAATTAAAATATATCAGCAAAGTGTTTTTCTATCTTGTAAAAGGGAAACTATTTCTTCAGGGGAATGTCATTGTATTTCCATTGTTCCTGACTGGCATTTCTTTGAATTTGATTCAATTTTTAAAAATTACATGGAGTCTGTACTGTATAATCCCTCATGGGCTGGGGAGGGAACAATGAATAACCAGGTTATAATTTATTTGTTCAATAAGCTCCTGAAAATCCCGGGGGAGACAGGACACATGTGAAATTGATATTTATAGCATAAAATGGGTCTCCCTGAACATGAGTTTTATTGGAATTTAACTGGTACTATCACAAGGGGATGCGGAGGAGGTTTCTGGTCAGATATATTTGGGATGGACTGGGTTAATTAAATACAAGTTAACTAGTTCTGCTTATAGCCAGACTTTTCAGTGCACATAATATGCTAATGTTAATATGAATTTCTAGGAGGCAGATAGACAATAATGTAGTTCCTGGACTTTTATATTTTGGAAACATTTTGTCAGATAACATCTTGGTTGAGAATTTACATTGATCAATGTTGCAACTCAGGATATAGCAGTAAAATGAGGAGGTGATAACATAGAATTTGGGTTTAGAGGTCCTGGGTTTAATTCTTGGCTTTTCTACTTTCTAATTTTTAGAAATTATTGCAGAACTTACATAAAAGAATAAAGCTATTTTAGGTTTTCCCTTTTTCAGTGATGTGATAGAACTGGTTCCAGAAATTTAAAGAATTTTTTTACCTAGTTATTAAACACAGATATTATTAAACTTTTATATATATATAATTATATATGTATTTGCAATTAAATTATATATAATTATATATATTTGCAATTAAATTATATATATAATTGCAAATATATATGGTCTCTATATATTTGTATATATGTACACATACACATGTATATACATATATGTATATGTACATATAGGTATAATTGCAAATATATATAAGGTCTATATATATTTGTATATATAAAAACCTTATATGTATTTATTTATATATAACTAAAGGTCTATATATATTTATATATACAAAAACCTTATATATATTTGCAATTAAATTTTATTAAGTAAAAGATAATACACATGCAAAACTCATCACTTCCTAATTATTTTATTATATTTTATGATTTTCTGTGTTCCTGTGGTTGTTGTCATTTATGATTGTATCAGTATGATGGAAATACTGTATAATTGTGTGCTACTGCACATCCCTTCACAACTCTGTGTTCACTGATATCATGTTGGTAGCTTGAAATCAGCCTTGGTGGGATAGTTATACCATGGAAAGAGGCAAATGCAACAAATTTGTGCCCTGGCTCCTCTCCAGCTGCTTATTAAACATTCACTAGCACGCCACTGGTTTTAGTGACGATTAAATGTGATGATGTGTATTAAACTCCTTGAACACTGCCTTAGTTGTGGGGCAAGTAGAAATAGTGTAACAGGATGCTGTGAGCTACCTATGGAGAATTTTCTTGCTTGCTCCCAGAGTTAAGAAGAAAAGAGACTACTGGATAATTAGGGCCTTATTGAAAAGAAAGATATGAACTCTCTGAGTTCACTTGGAAAAGAGCCAGATCTTGCCTGAGTTGCCAGCTCTGGGGCTAAAGAAGCTTTGATCAAGAAAATAAGAAGATATCTGGGAGTAAGGGGAGGTGGTCTTTTGTGAGGAGGGAGGTGTTCCTAAAGAGAAGTCACCTGTTCCTTCTTACTATGCCTTGAGGCAAGAGTGTACTTGGCTGTTAGATGCCTTAAGTTGACTAGTAAATTTTGTGAGTTTTAAAAAGAAGTTGCTATTGATGTCTGTATGAGGTTCCTATTGCTGCTACAACAAATTACCACAAGCTTTGTAGCTGAAGACAGCACAAATTTATTACCTCACAGGTCTGGAAGTCAGAAGTTCCAAACAAGTCCAAGGGACTAAAATCAAGGGGTTGGCAGGACTGCATTCCTCCTAGGGGATTTGGAGGAGAATCCATTGCCTTGATTTTTTTCTTATCTCTGCAGAATGTAGAGGCCACCTGCATTTCCCAGCTGCTGACCCCCTCCTCCATCCTTGAAATGCCTCAATTTAGTCTCTGCTTTCATCATGATATCTCCTCTCACAGCTTCTTCCCACTTAGAAGGACCTCTCTGATTACACTGGGTCCACTAGGATAACCCTGGAAAATATTTCTATCTCAAACTCTTTAATTTTATCACATCTGCAAAATACCTTTTGCCATTTAAAGTAACATATACGCAGGTTCTGGGGATAAGGATGTGAATATATTTGAAGAGCCACTATTCTCTCTCCCGCTATGTCTTATAACCAGATTGGATGACCACTTAAGTGCAGGTCTTGTTGACTTGCTCCCGTGCTCCCAGAACTGCAGAAAGAGCATCCTGGTCAGAGAGAGACTGCCCTCTTGAATTTCTATTTCCCAAAGAATACAAACTATGGCATCTACCTGGTACCAGAGCCCTGAAATTAGGGTGACAAGAAATTGATGATACTAAGTGATAAAAGTTCACTGGGACCAAGTCAGTGTGCAGTAGTGTGGTTCAAATGCCAGAGGAATGTGGCAGGGGCTTCTGGTTGGGACTGCTTCAAAATATAGTTGAATCTTGCAAGGGACCACTGATTTTAGGGGGAGAGTTTGAGACTGAGTTTCATACCAGCAAGGTCTTCTGGGGCCTGTACTCATCCACGGGAGTCTGGAGACAACAAGCCAGATCCCTGATGGTCATCAACAGAACAAGAAGAGCAACTGACTACCACTGATGGAAGGTTGTTTATGACCAACAAAGAAAAAGAGAGTTACTCCAAGAAAGTAACTGACGTGAAACAAAACGGCTTTTTCCACTCTCCTCCCCAACACCAGAGTAACCAGTGTAAGAAAGAAAGGGGTATGAAAGACAGCCCTTCCCACTTCACCCCAAACTCAATCCTCCATAAGAGGGGCGAAGGAGAAGGGGATGGTAGAGTCAGCTTGATTCAGATTTGAAACCGAAGTTTAAAAATGGTCGGGACTAAGTCTTAGTGACGAAAATGCAATAGTTAATACTTAAAAAAAGTAAAAAGTTATGGAATCAGATTGGAATATCTAAAATAGAGTCTGCTACTTGGCAGGAAGTTTGGAGGTAGGCAGAACACAGTTGCTGTCAGTTGTTTGAAAAAAAATCTTCCTAACTGTACCCCAGAAGAAATTATTTTGTAGCTAATAAGTGCTGTAGCTAATAAGTGCTGCTGAGTTGCAGAGATGCAGCAGGAAGATGGGGATGCAGTACTCCAGGGACCCTGCACTGGATGGAGGAGGCAGGCTGGCCCAGGGAGAGGGGCAGAAAGTCAAGTTACTTTTACTCTCCTAAACTATTAGACACTTGAAAGGATAGAGGGAGAGGAGAGGAAAATACACATTTTTTTTTGAATGGACAAAATGCACAGGATATGCTTTAGAAATCGGCTAATTATCTCATAGCCCAGTAATAATACAAGCAAGAGCCTTCCACATACTATGTGAGGGATTACAGCTGGACTGTTCATCCTTTTGCTAACTTAGGCATCTCGGCACCATGTGAGCCATCAGGGTTGTTGACACCCAGGAAGCCGAGCTCCTGTGGCCCTCATCACTCATTTAAAAGCCCATCATAGTGAGGGCATGAGCAGAGGGAGGGCAGAAAGAGACAATCATTTCTTTTTCTTTTTAAGATGCATATTGCAGCTGGAAATGCCAAAACTGAGAACCAAGAATTGTTATCATTTGTAAAGAAATGAGTCAGAAAAAGTCATAATTCAATTAATATTTCATCTGTAGTTGTCTATTTTCCTAAACCAGTTATCTTGCTTAATATCACTCAGCTGCTTTGTTCTCAGTGAAAAACAGGATGCAGAGACAAGAGGAAGCCCCAGGGAAGTACTTCTCCTGGAGGCGGAAGTTTGGTCAGAAGCTTCCTCCTTTAGGAGTCTAAGCAGGGATGTGGAGAGAAGATGGGGAAAATATTTGCCCTCTACGAACAGAAGAAGAAAATTTGAAGTATCTAGGTTACTTTTGGTGATCTGGTAGATTGAAACATCAGTTCGGTGAACTGATGTGCTGGAGTAATACATTGCCTTGAGAAACCCCAAAAGTTAGGAGGATGCTGACTCCTTTGCAAACAATGTAGGGTAATGTCACTCACACTGCCACACCTATTATAGGATACGCTTTTTATAATATTGTTCTTTAATTGATGTATAACAATGGTACATATTTATGGAGTACACACTGATGTTTCAATACATAAAGTGATCAGACCAGGGTAGTTAGCATATCCATCATCTCAAATAGAATATCTTTTAATTTCAGACATTTCATAATGATAGAGCAATGAATTTTAGAATTTATGTTTTCATACTCTATCCCTTGGGGAAGTGATAGCAAAATTATTTAAAAAAGAGAACATAAATCACTGTTTTTATACTAATAAAATTAGCTAGAACCTCTCATATATGACATGATTGAACCAATTTAACATTGCAGAGTGATAATTCTAGGTCAAAATTTCCAGCCGTCTCTTGTTCATCTCTACCTTCAAGGCCAGGCACAAAAATACTTAATACATCTAGAATCAAACTAGCTTCTTTCTGAAGACTTCTTTTCATTTTGAAGGTTCTATACCTCAATTAAAATTAGTCTCTCTGCCCTCTCTTACATACACAGACACACACTCAAACTCATGCACACACCCTAAGGAAGATTAAAGATACAGTTTCAACAGGCTGGCAGTAGAATTCATCTTAAGAATCAAACTTCTCTGTTCAGGTCAATGTATGGGGAGAAGATAAAGTTCCAAGGGCATGATTCACAAGGAGATTATGAAACAGTAAAGGAACCAAGCTTTTTTCCCTAAGAAGAGGAAGGAATGTGGGAATTTGGAAATGGTGTCCATCAGAGCAAAAAGGAAAGTGAAGGAAGCCAAGGAACATAGCAAAAGGCTGGAACCTTTGGAGAAAGTTGAAGAGTGAGAAATGTCTAGCAGTGTGGATGGTGACTACTAAGAATAGGGATGTGTTATAAGTAAAATCATGTTTCTTATACAAATATAAAATGAGCACATATGAAAGATTGTATTTAACTTCTTCATGAAACCAGTAAGACGTAAAAACCAGTTCAAAGCAAAATTTGAGGAACACACATACACACACACACACACACACACACACACACACACGCAATGAGGAATGCAGAAATCATTTTGCTAAGATGCAAAACTGGTAAATATCCTATAGGACAATAATATATATGCAAAATATTATAATGTTTGGCATCTCTTCTGCATGATGAAATTAATTATATTTCTACTAGTCAACATTTAAATGTTTCTTTGAACAAGAATTATTTGCATTACTCTGTTTCTACATCTTAATTACTACTCCCTCTCACAGACTCCTAAAATAGCCTAGTCAATAGAAAGACAATCCGAGATCCACACCTCTAAGGATTCAGACAATTCCTGGAGACTGCTCCTAGATGCCTAGAATTGCACTGAGAGGACACTCCGTAATTGGTTTTGCCCGTTTCCAAATCTTTTGTCATTTTTCCTAACAGATAATAATATTCAATTTGAAGGATATTTTGAGATATAATTCTCTATCTTTCCAAATAGTGAAGTTTGGCACACACCTGTATGTCCAGTGCAGGCTATCTTTGGGAGGATGGTGTTCAGAAATACGAAGGAAATGAGCTGACTTTGAAGCCTAGATTAGTGTGGAGCAAGTAGAACAAGATAATTGCTGGGAATAATGTGTGAATGAGGTTTAGAACTCTGCAGAAGGAACTCAGCACTAGAGATGACCGGCAGGTTGGAAAGCACTGAAAATTAACAGAAATCTTAGGGAGGCCTTTGCATTTTCTCCAAGATAAGGGATACTGGGCTAAATAGGATGACATTAATTCATATGTTAATATTAAATCATAGAAAAAGATAATGGGATTTCTACTTTAAAGTGCATATAGTGAAGGGTTTTTTATATCTGTATCTCCTTCAGTTCTGCTCTGATCTTAGTTATTTCTTGCCTTCTGCTAGCTTTTGAATGTGTTTGCTCTTGCTTCTCTAGTTCTTTTAATTGTGATGTTAGGGTGTCAATTTTAGATCTTTCCTGCTTTCTCTTGTGGGCATTTAGTGCTATAAATTTCCCTCTACACACTGCTTTGAATGTGTCCCAGAGATTATGGTATGTTGTGTCTTTGTTCTCATTGGTTTCAAAGAACATCTTTATTTCTGCCTTCATTTCCTTATGTACCCAGTAGTCATCCAGGAGGAGGTTGTTCAGTTTCCATGCAGTTGAGTGGTTTTGAGTGAGTTTCTTACTCCTGAGTTCTAGTTTGATTGCACTGTGGTCTGAGAGACAGTTTGTTATAATTTCTGTTCTTTTACATTTGCTGAGGAGAGCTTTACTTCCAACGATGTGGTCGATTTTGGAATAAGTGCAGTGTGGTGCTGAGAAGAATGTATATTCTGTTGATTTGGGGTGGAGAGTTCTGTAGATGTCTATTAGGTCTGCTTGGTGCAGAGCTGAGTTCAATTCCTGGATATCCTTGTTAACTTTCTGTCTTGTTGATCTGTCTAATGTTGACGGTGGGATATTAAAGTCTCCCATTATTATTGTGTGGGAGTCTAAGTCTCTTTCTAGGTCTCTAAGGACTTGCTTTATGAATCTGGGTGCTTCTGTATTGGGTGCATATCTATTTAGGATAGTTAGCTCTTCTTGTTGAATTGAGCCCTTTACCATTATGTAATGGCCTTCTTTGTCTCTTTTGATCTTCGTTGGTTTAAAGTCTGTTTTATCAGAGACTAGGATTGCAACCCCTGCCTTTTTTTTGTTTTCCATTTGCTTGGTAGATCTTCCTCCATCCCTTTATTTTGAGCCTATGTGTGTCTCTGCACATGAGATGGGTTTTCTGAATACAGCACACTGATGGGTCTTGACTCTTTATCCAATTTGCCAGTCTGTGTCTTTTAATTGGAGCATTTAGCCCATTTACATTTAAGGTTAATATTGTTATGTGTGAATTTGATCCTGTCATTATGATGTTAGCTGGTTATTTTGCTCGTTAGTTGATGCAGTTTCTTTCTAGTCTCGATGGTCTTTACAATTTGGCATGTTTTTGCAGTGGCTAGTACTGGTTGTTCCTTTCCATGTTTAGTGCTTCCTTCAGGAGCTCTTGTAGGGCAGGCCTGGTGGTGACAAAATCTCTCAGCATTTGCTTGTCTGTAAAGGATTTTATTTCTCCTTCATTTATGAAGCTTAATTTGGCTGGATAAGAAATTCTGGGTTGAAAATTCTTTTCTTTAAGAATGTTGAATATTGGCCCCCACTCTCTTCTGGCTTGTAGAGTTTCTGCTGAGAGATCAGCCGTTAGTCTGATGGGCTTCCCTTTGTGGGTAACCCGACCTTTCTCTCTGGCTGCCCTTAACATATTTTCCTTCATTTCAACTTTGGTGAATCTGACAATTATGTGTCTTGGAGTTACTCTTCTCGACGAGTATCTTTGTGGTGTTCTCTGTATTTCCTGAATTTGAATGTTGGCCTGCCTTGCTAGGTTGGGGAAGTTCCCTTGTATAATATCCTGCAGAGTGTTCTCCAACTTGGTTCCATTCTCCCCGTCACTTTGAGGTACACCAGTCAGACATAGATTTGGTCTTTTCACATACTCCTATATTTCTTGGAGGCTTTGTTCGTTTCTTTTTATTCTTTTTTCTCTAAACTTCTCTTCTCACTTCATTTCATTCATTTGATCTTCCATCACTGATAACCCTTTCTTCCAGTTGATCGAATCGGCTACTGAGGCTTGTGCATTCATCATGTAGTTCTCATGCCATGGTTTTCAGCTCCACCATGTCATTTAAGGACTTCTCTACATTGGTTATTCCAGTTAGTCATTCGTCTAATCTTTTTCAAGGTTTTTAACTCCTTTGCAATGGGTTCAAACTTCCTCCTTTAGCTCGGAGAAGTTTGATCATCTGAAGCCTTCTTCTCTCAACTCGTGAAAGTCATTCTCCATCCAGCTTTGTTCCGTTGCTGGTGAGGAGCTGCATTCCTTTGGAGGAGGAGAGGTGCTCTGATTTTTAGAATTTTCAGTTTTTCTGCTCTGTTTTCTCCCCATCTCTGTGGTTTTATCTACCTTTGCTCTTTGATGATGGTGACGTACACATGGGATTTTGGTGTGGATGTCCTTCCTGTTTGTTAGTTTTCCTTCTAACAGTCAGGACCCTCAGCTGCAGGTCTGTTGGAGTTTGCTGGAGGTCCACTCCAGACACTGTTTGCCTGGCTATCAGCAGTGGAGGCTGCAGAACATTGAATATTGCTGAACAGCAAATGTTGCTGCCTGATCACTCCTCTGGAAGCTTCGTTTCAGTGGGGTACCCGGCCGTGGGTTGTCAGTCGGCTCCTACTTGGGGGTGCCTCCCAGATAGGCTACTTGGGGGTCAGGGACCCACTTGAGGAGGCAGTCTGTCCATTCTCAGATCTTAAACTCCATGCTGGGAGAACCACTACTCTCTCCAAAGCTGTCAGACAGGTACTTTTAAGTCTGCAGAGGTTTCTGCTGCCTTTTGTTCGGCTATGCCCTGCCCCCAGAGGTGGACTCTACTAAGGCAGGTAGGCCTCCTTGAGCTGTGGTGGGCTCCACCCAGTTCGAGCTTCCTGGCCGCTTTGTTTACCTACTCAAGCCTTAGCAATGGTGGGCACCCCTCCCCGAGCCTCACTGGCCCCTTGCAGTTCCATCTCAGACTGTGTGCTAGCAATGAGTGAGGCTCTGTGGATGTGGGACCCTTTGAGCCAGGAGTGGGATATAATCTCCTGGTGTGCCATTTGCTAAGATCACTGGAAAAGTGCAGTATTAGGGTGGGAGTGACCCAATTTTCCAGGTGCTGTCTGTCACAGCTTTGCTTGGCTAGGAAAGGGAATTCCCTGACCCCTTGTGCTTGGCTGGTTTTTTGAAAAGATCAACAAAATTGATAGACCGCTAGCAAGACTAATAAAGAAGAAAAGAGAGAAGAATCAAATAGATGCAATAAAAAATGTTAAAGGGGATATCACCACTGATCCCACAGAAATACAAACTACCATCAGAGAATACTATAAACACCTCTATGCAAATAACCTAGAAAATCTAGAAGAAATGGGTAAATTCCTTGACACATACACCCTCCCAAGACTAAACCAGGAAGAAGTTGAATCTCTGAATAGACCAATAACAGGCTCTGAAATTGAGGCAATAATTAATAGCTTACCAACCAAAAAAAGTCCAGGACCAGACGGATTCACAGCCGAATTCTACCAGAGGTACAAGGAGGAACTGGTACCATTCCTTCTGAAACTATTCCAATCAATAGAAAAAGAGGGAATCCTCCCTAACTCATTTTATGAGGCCAGCATCATCCTGCTACCAAAGGCTGGCAGAGACACAACCAAAAAACGGAATTTTAGACCAATATCCCTGATGAACATCGATGCAAAAATCCTCAATAAAATACTGGCAAACTGAATCCAGCAGCACATCAAAAAGCTTATCCACCATGATCAAGTGGGCTTCATCCCTGGGATGCAAGGCTAGGTCAATATATGCAAATCAATAAATGTAATCCAGCATATAAACAGAACCAACAACAAAAACCACATGATTATCTCAATAGATGCAGAAAAGGCCTTTGACAAAATTCAACAGCCCTTCATGCTAAAAACTCTCAATAAATTAGGTATTGATGGGACGTATCTCAAGATAATAAGAGCTATTTATGACAAACCCACAGCCAATATCATACTAAATGGGCAAAAACTGGAAGCATTTCCTTTGAAAACTGGCACAAGACAGGGATGCCCTCTCTCACCACTCCTATTCAACATAGTGTTGGAAGTTCTGGCCAGGGCAATCAGGCAGGAGAAAGAAATAAAAGGTATTCTTAGGAAAAGAAGAAGTCAAATTGTCCCTGTTTGCAGATTACATGATTGTATATCTAGAAAACCCCATTGTCTCAGCTCAGCCCCAAATCTCCTTAAGCTGATAGGCAACTTCAGCAAAGTCTCAGGATACAAAATCAATGTGCAAAAATCACAAGCATTCTTATACACCAATAACAGACAAACAGAGAGCCGAATCATGAGTGAACTCCCATTCACAATTACTTCAAAGAGAATAAAATACCTAGGAATCCAACTTACAAGGGAAGTGAAGGACCAATTCAAGGAGAACTACAAACCACTGCTCAACGAAATAAAAGAGGATATAAACAAATGGAAGAACATTCCATCCTCATGGATAGGAAGAACCAATGTCATGAAAATGGCCATACTGCCCAAGGTAATTTACAGATTCAATGCCATCCCCATCAAGCTACCAATGACTTTCTTCACAGAATTGGGAAAAACTACTTTAAAGTTCATATGGAACCAAAAAAGAGCCCACATTGCCAAGTCAATCCTAAGCCAAAAGAACAAAGCTGGAAGCATCACACTACCTGACTTCAAACTATACTACAGGGCTACAGTAACCAAAACAGCATGGTACTGGTACCAAAACAGAGATATCGACCAATGGAACAGAACAGAGCCCTCAGAAATAATAGCACACATCTACAACTATCTGATCTTTGACAAACCTGACAAAAACAAGCAATGGGGAAAGGATTCCCTATTTAACAAATGGTGCTGGGAAAACTGGCTAGCCATATGGAGAAAGCTGAAAGTGGATCCCTTCCTTACACCTTATACAGAATTAATTCAAGATGGATTAAAGACTTAAATGTTAGACCTGAAACCATAAAAACCCTAGAAGAAAACCTAGGCAATACCATTCAGGACATAGGCATGGGCAAGGACTTCATGTCTAAAACACCAAAAGCAATGGCAATAAAAGTCAAAATTGACAAATGGGATCTAATTAAACTAAAGAGCTTCTGCACAGCAAAAGAAACTACCATCAGAGTGAACAGGCAACCTACAGAATGGGAGAAAATTTTTGCAATCTACTCATCTGACAAACGGCTAATATCCAGAATCTACAATGAACTCAAACAAATTTACAAGAAAAAAAAACATCAAAAAGTGGGTGAAGGATATGAACAGACACTTCTCAAAAGAAGACATTTATGCCTCCAACAGACACTTGAAAAAATGCTCATCATCACTGGCCATCAGAGAAATGCAAATCAAAACCACAATGAGATACCACCTCACACCAGTTAGAATGGAGATCATTAAAAAGTCAGGAAACAACAGGTGCTGGAGAGGATGTGGAGAAATAGGAACACTTTTACACTGTTGGTGGGACTGTAAACTAGTTCAACCATGGTGGAAGTCAGTGTGGCAATTCCTCAGGGATCTAGAACTAGAAATACCATTTGACCCAGCCATCCCATTACTGGGTATATACCCAAAGGGTTAGAAATCATGCTGCTATAAAGACACATGCACATGTATGTTTATTGCGGCACTATTCACAATAGCGAAGACTTGCAACCTACCCAAATGTCCAACAATGATAGACTGAATTAAGAAAATGTGGCACATATACACCATGGAATACTATGCAGCCATAAAAAAGGATGAGTTCATGTCCTTTGTAGGGACATGGATGAAGCTGGAAACCATCATTCTCAGCAAACTATCGCAAGGACAGAAAACCAAACACCGCATGTTCTCACTCACAGGTGGGAATTGAACAATGAGAACACTTGGACACAGGAAGGGGAACATCATACACCAGGGCCTGTTGTGGGGTGGGGGGAGTGGGGAGGGATAGCATTAGGAGATATACTTAATGTAAATGATGAGATAATGGGTGCAGTACACCAACATGGCACACGTATACATATGTAACAAAACTGCACATTGTGCACATGTACCCTAGAACTTAAGATATAATAAAAAATATATATTAGATATAAAAAAATAAAATGTATATAGTGGTTCTTTCTGGATATGGGATTATGGGTGATTTTGATCTTATTAAACATATTTCTTAAGTACCCTTTTTCATAACTTTAAATATTTTGAATAATTTTTCTATAATTATTGTCTGAAGCTTTTACAATACCATGACTTATTTTTATAATCTGTACAAACAACAAAGCTTTTTAAATGAAAAAAGTCCCTGAAATTTTAAGTTTTTGAAGCTGCATCAGAATGTCCCTGCACCAAAGTAGCTGAGCCAAAGTGAAAGCTTCAAGCTGGCTTTGTCAAATGACATGTCCTCTTCTTTGTATTGTGAAGGAGACTGTCAAATCTGGATTTACTATACCTGAGTTAGATAGGACTTGAACCTCAGGTCTTAGAGACCAAGCCTCAGCTCTTACAGAAGGAAGATCTAATTGTACCTCAAACTAACTTGCTGTTCTTATTTTATACAATGATTTTTTTTTTGGTTAAAATTATTTTAAAACAGTATAACATTATACTGTTACTTTTTCTCTTATTTTGTAATCCTTAAAGTGGAAAAATCCATCCCGATCATCTGAGACAAAGCTAAATTGCTTGAACAGGGATTTGCCAAGACCAAGGACCTTCTTCAGTCTTATCTCTTACCCTTCACCCTCAACCACCCCAACCCCACCCTTCTACTCTGAGTTCCAGTTATGCAGATTGACTTTCAGCAATTTGAGCACACTTCAAGGCTTGCTCTCACAGAACTTCTCCATCACTTTCTCTAGGCCCCTTTATCCTATCCTCATTTTCTTCATAGCATTAATATACAATATCAGAGTAAGAAACCTGATATATATAAACATATATATTTATATGGCTATATAAATTTATATATGGCTATATAAATATATATGGCTATATAAATATATACATATATATATTTTATATTGATATATATAATATATATCTTATATGGATATATATCCACATAAAATCCATATAAATCCATATATATCCATATAAAAATATACATAATATGGATATTTAAAATATATATAATATAGAAAAACAATATATATTAATTATAAGTAATATTTTAATATTAATAACCAATAAACATTACTGATGTATAAATAATATATATTATATACTATATAAAAATATATACTATATCTATTATTATCTGATTTTTTTGCCCCATCCTTATCCTTATCCCAGTATATTGCAGTTGTGTGTGTATCTATTTATATCTACTTTCCATGAAGGCAGATGATCATGTCCACCCGGTACACCACAGTGTCTCCACTGCTAAACAGCAGCTGGCACATAGCAGAGATCAACACATATTTTTTGTTTTCACTAATTACTTGCCATTCTTCTAACATCAAATGTATTTTCAACCTTCTAAGCTTTTGATAATACTAGTTTTTAGATTCAAAATACTGTTTTTTCACTTTAATTTGACATACCTACTTTTTGACTAAGCCAATTTTTCCCACGTATGTTGAAGAAGTACCTTTGCCCATGGTTCTCAAACTGCAACCAGGCACCGCGGAATACCACACACGGTTCACAGGGGGCGCTGCAGGGTATTCTAGAGTTTTGAGGGACATGCGGCAACTTCAGTGGATATCATGTGAACTGCTACTTGTGGCGGTTCACGGTTTCACACTAGATTGTACTACATTCCTTTCAGTGATGTTGTATGTTTGTGAAGCTGGGATTTAGTGACTGCTGTGAGAAAAAGCAAGGGCCGTATGAAAATGGATGTGGGACAGAAAATGAGGGTGTCAGTATCCTTGTTAATTCCAAACATTGAGAAGGGACACAGTACCCACCAGGCACACATCTGTCACTAATGCTAGCTGAGATTGAAATAAAAATACTGTTTTTATCTTTTAAAATATGTGTATTATTTTTAAACAGCTACTAAGCTGTTGGGACATACAAACTTAATAAGTTGATTAGTATTCCAATTTCAATCATTTAGGTCAAAATTCACAGAATTGAATTCATTTGATTATGCCTCTATTGTTTCAAATTGTCAAACATTTATGGGGTTATCAGTTTTTTAGTCGATCGTGGTCCATTTTTAGTACCACATTGATGAGGTCTTTTCCTTTGTACCCTCTTCCCTTCCTCCCCTAAGCCCCAGCTCTATCCCCTGCTTCTCCTCATCTCTCTTTGGTCTGCGTGAGTTTCCTTTTATACCGATTAGCACGATTCTAAAAGATCTGCTGATTCTGACTCATTTCCCTATTAACTAGTGAAGGGCATGATCTAGCTGCATTTTCCCATGTGTTGATCAGAGCTGAAAGCCCTATTAAATGAAGGGAAGTGTACATTTATCACCCTCCCCCGGTATGCTCTATCCTTTTGTTTGTCTTATGCCTAAGGAATATCAGTTATCATTGACTACTTTATTTTGGTACAAAATGAAGAACAGGCTCTCAAATAATTAGCTTGTTATGAGCAATGATCAGAAACTTTAGTTCTTGCTTCACAGCAATTATTTCATTAAACTTCATCATCAGACTGCAATCATCCTTTTAGCATCAGATTCCAATAAAGGTAACAGTCACCACGTGTTTTCTCTTTTCTACCTTCAAAGTGACTCTTAATTAGGGCAAAGGAAACACTTCTCGGCATACCCGCCACCCACTGCCTTTTGCTGCACTTCTGTTCACTCCCACTTGGATCGCTTTGCTTCTTCCATACCTCCCAAGTCTAGAGTGGACTCTTCAACCTCCTCAGTCTATGCCTGGACCCACTGCGTCCCTTCAACAGAGCACACCTTTACCATCTAGTCCTCAGTGTGTCTGTCCTATGCCTAACCGCACCCCATCCCACTCACACATACCACCCTCTCTTTGGCCACTCTGTCTACTACCACTTTCTCTAGTTCTCTTAGCAAGAGAGACTGAAGGAATAGGATGTGATGCATATCAACAGGCTTTTCACAAGACACGAATGTGTCCATCTATCCATGTACAGAGGAATCAAGAGGTGCACATGGGATTTTGTGGGAGAGAATCCAGGAGAGATAGAGCAATGATTCTGAGAAGCTATAGTTCTAGCACTATTCTAACTTGGGATTGGACAGAAAGAAGTGATAATGATATATTTTCAAATAAAAAGTGACCTTTAGTTTTCAATAATGGAATCTTTTGGCTAGCTTTCAATTATTTATTATTCTCACAAAGTTTTGCTGTTTTTATTTTATGTTTTTGGCAGCCAGGCATTTGCTTCCTTGGCACATCTGGTCAGCAACTTGCAATGACTGTATTGTCTTTCCTCATTGAGAATATTAATGAAAATAATTAGAACGATTAAGGAAGTGTTGCCCTTTTAGACAAGTTAGATAATGGGTTTCAAAAGTTTTTCAAATTAAGTAATGCTCATTTAGCTTGCTGAGTATTCCACTTAATGGCTAAGACACAAAATGAATGAGCATCATATGTATTTGTTATCATTTTGTTTTAACAAAAGATTTGAGATGTACAATCAGATAAATGGCCCCAAATGTTTATGTGGCTATGTTTTTGTGTTTTTTGTGGCATACAGCTATACAACAACATTGGCTTTCCTTCTCTTATTTTTACCCATAGCACTTGTCTTAATCTATGATCAGTAACAAAGAGACCTTATTTCAACAGGCCTGGGATTCGTGTCTTTTGATTGTCCACCAGCAGAAACACAAGTGATTCGTATATGTTGAAGAGACACTGATGTGTTATTGGAGTTTTCTCCTCCCCCTCTTAACCTTTTCTGATCTGTCCCTTTTGCTTATTTGCATCTTGCTCTCTAGTAATATTTGTTAACGCTATTCCTGTGGTCTATATATGATAAGTGTTAGCTTATTAAGATTCGTGGTTTGCTTTCTGGTTACTTTCTTTTTTTTTAATTTCAAAATAATTATTGACTCAATGATCTCCAGATTTCTTAGCTTCCTTCTTCCCTTTCTTTCCCTCTCTAGCTTGCTTCATCCCTTTCTTCTTGTCACTCTTGTCATTTTTCTGTCTTCTCTTTCTCCTTTCTTCCTTTCTCTCTCCCTGCCTTCCCATCTTCCTTTTTCCTCTTCTTTTCTTTCTCCCTTCTTTCTTCTTTCTGTCTTTCCTTGCTCCTCCTTCCCTCCCTCCCTTCCTTCCTACTTTCCTTCCTTCCCTCTCTCTTTTGTCTTGTCCCTTGCTTATCATTCTCTGATATCATTGCTTTATAGTCATCATGCACTTAAAAGAAATGCTAAGTCCTGTGTGACTAACGACTCAATTTCTTCTAATTGCTAGCCCTTCAATTCTAGTATGGAGATACTAGTAAGACCTTTTTAACTAGGGAATTCAGAGACATTTTAGGCAATCTACACCAGAATACAAATTCATTCTTATGCCGATCCAGAAGTTTAGAAGTAATGATTGCATATATGGTGTACCACATAGCTTTCATGTCAAACAGCTAAGAGGATAAACACCAACATTGCCATGGGAAATTTTATAATAGATTTTCATATATTCTGTTTGGGTTTTATTATTGTTTAATAGTTTGTATAACTATGTGAACATGTTTTTAGACCAAGATTTTTCTAGTTTTGTCTCATGAATAAATATCAGGTACGTTTCCCTAACATTGAACACTGACAGAAAATATGAGTATAATTTGTTCCTGAGCTGCTACTAATGTGAAATTCCTATCATAAGAGAGACTGTATTAGTATTATATTTTTGGCAAAAGAGTAAGCCTTTTAGAAATCGAAAGGGTGTGGAAATTGACAGCAGCTGACAGATACGGTTTGTGTAATAGAAATTTTTAGTAATAGGTTTTGTGTGGCAGTTCTTCACAACAAAGGGACAGTGTAAGTCTAACTTCTTTTTAATTCAAATGTCAGTTGTTAAGAAATGGTTGTGATATAAAGGTAAAAGTAATACCAGGTTATTATTTATACTTTGAAATTCAGCTTTAGTTATTTATTCATTTATCTTTTTTAGACTGCATTTTCTATTTTTAGATGGACTCTTGCTCTGTTGCCCAGGCTGGAGTGCAGTGGCACAATCTTGGCTCACTGCAACCTCTGCCTCCCAGGTTTAAGCAATTCGCTGCCTCAGTCTCCAGAGTAGCTGGGATTACAGGCACGTGCCACCACACCCGGCTAATTTTTTGTATTTTTTTTTTTTTTTTTGGTAGAGATGGGGTTTCACCATCTTGGCCAGGCTGGTCTTGAACTCCTGACCTCATGATCCACCCGCCTCGGCCTCCCAAAGTGCTGGGATTACAGGTGTGAGCCACTGCATCTGTAGACTGCATTTTCTTAAGAATATTCCAAACGTTTCCATTGCTCCTGAACACATATATTAAGGCAAGAATCATATATTAGGAACTAATTAAGAGGGAAATGTTTTAAAAGATCTAGTGAGGGACACTGTACTGAGAGTGAAAATCCGTAAGTCAAAGTTCTGGGCTTCTTACTTTTGTGTATTTGGCAGAGTTTGATTAAGCTGTGTTTATGGGAAACAGGAGAGGCCAAACAGGAGAGGTAAAGTGGGAACATGGGTGTTTACTTATGTAAGTTTGGGCTACATTAACATCGTGTTACCTTGTAGTTGACCAACAGCTCAACAAAACACCCTCAGTTATGTTCTGCCTGCTTATAAGGCTTTTGATTTTAGCTTTTCCCTTCCTAATCCAGAATCCATTTCCATAGAAACACAAGTAAGAAGAGCATCATGAGAGCAATTTGTCTGCTTCTGCTTCCATTTAAATGGAAATGGAATTTACAGCAGAAAAAAACAGAGAGAGAGCTTTAATAAGTAATATTTTCAAATGCACCCTTTAAATTTAACCCTCTCAACTTATAAAGTAGCTAAAAAATTGAACTATAACAAGGCAATTTTATACCTGGGCAAGTCATAAGGCTTGCACTTAAGCTAACAGGCTCCTGACCTTGAAATGCATTCTGGTGTCAGCTACTGTTCCAAACCTCTGTACCTTTTGTATCCTGAGGCATGTTCCATCTCTTCCTAGAGAGACCACCAAGGTGGGTGCGCGAGTGGTTACTATGGGTGAAGTAACTTTGGATTCTGCAGTACCTTTTTGTCTATTTCCACATCAATAGAATGTTTCCACTTTTTATGCCTTAAGCATATTCTGCTGCTGTATATTTGAAATATTAGCTGAGCACAAACTATAGGCCAGACATGGTGAAAAATGTAAGAACTTTACATTTTAACTTTTATTTTTATTTTTTATTTTTTGAGACGGAATCTTGCTCTGTCGCCCAGGCTGGAGCGCAGTGGTGTGATCTCGGCTCACTGCAACCTCCGCCTCCTGGGTTCAAGCAATTCTTCTGCCTCAGCCTCCCGAGTAGCTGGGACTACAAGAATGTGCCACCATGCCCGGCTAATTTTTGTATTTTTAGTAGAGACGGGGTTTCACCATATTGGCTAGGATGGTCTCGAACTCCTGACCTCGTAATCTGCCCGCCTCGGCCTCCCTAAGTGCTCGGGTTACAGGCGTGTGTCACCGTGTCTGGTCCATTTTGCCTTTTGAAGAAAAAAATGTCTTGCTCAGTGCTGAATAAACAAAATGTTTGTTGCTGGTCAATAAAGGAAACAAAATTGATTGGCAATATGAACAACATATGGCATATATGAACTGTTAAAAGTCACTTAGTTCATTTCTCATTTTAAAAAGATACTTTGCTAAGCATTTTGAGGTTATTTTCCAAGTTTTTATTTCAAGAGTATTTTTTGAATATTTTAAGTTACACAATTAAAAAAAAACAACCTAATTTCTAGAGAAGTTAAACAAAACCCAATATTAAACACGACAGATTGTAGTTCTTTTTACTTTAGTTGGATGAGTTAAATAGATTTCTGACTACAGTCACTGGAAGTGTTAGGGTTTCTAAGAAGCCAGAATCATCTTTATGGATGATATGGGAGGGGAGTGCGAGGAGGGAGAGATGACAGAGTTTTGGGGGAAAAGAATGATGGCTTTCTAATGTAATGGAGAAATCCATTTGAGAAATAGCCAGTAAAAAAAAAAAAAAAAAAAAAAAAAAAAATATATATATATATATATATATATATTTTTTTTTTTTTTTTTTTTTTTTGAGACGGAGTCTCGCTCTCTCGCCCAGGCTGGAGTGCAGTGGCAGGATCTCGGCTCACTGCAAGCTCCGCCTCCCGGGTTCACGCCATTCTCCTGCCTCAGCCTCTCCGAGTAGCTGGGACTACAGGCGCCCGCCACTACGCCCGGCTAATTTTTTGTATTTTTAGTAGAGACGGGGTTTCACTGTTTTAGCCGGGATGGTCTCGATCTCCTGACCTCGTGATCCGCCCGCCTCGGCCTCCCAAAGAAAATATATTTTTTTAAAGGCAAAGTGAAACATAAAAGATTCTGTCTCCTTCCCTCCACAGTACTCACTACTTGATCTCCAAGGGAGAGAGAAAAAAGCATTTTGTACAGGAAACGTCACCAGGAATTTTACAGGCCACACAGGGAAGGAAAACTGCCTTGCCTTGAATCCAACACAGCAGGGACCTGGGCACTGACTGGAATAGAGAACTGAGTTCAATGAAAGGTTTGTGATTTAAAAGTCCCTACCTTGTGTAAGTATAGCCTGAGACTGAGTAGTCTTTGAAATTTTATTTTTTTGTCCTAAAAAAAAGTCTGGGTCTGATCCTAGACACCTCACAAGTAGATCAGTAAAGGACAAAGAATATAAGAAAAGTCCCAGACAAGAAAAGAATGACATTCCTCTTAGCTAATTACATTTTATGAATACCCTAGAAATTAAAATTATTATTTAATATAAGGCTGTACTACATTTGAAGCTGTGTTTTATTTATAGTTTGCTACATTCATTTATGCTTAAGTTAGCCTTAGCATTTTTACTTCAGGGGAACATGGCCCAATTTAAGTAATAATTGCTCATAGTTTGTTACAAGTTCTACCAACAAATTCTTCCTAAAATTTTTTTCAGTATTTACTTATTCCCCGTGGAAAGGTACACAATAAAGGCAGGGTCCTGCACTGCTCATGGCTCTGTCCTAGAGCCTATAGCAGTGCCTGACACAGAACAAGTACTTCCTGTTTGTGCAATGAATGAAGAAAGCACAGGGATGCTTTTCGGTATTGTTAGGGAGAATCTCAAACCGGGAAACTCTAACTGATATTTTTGGGTGACATGCTCATGTCCTCAGTGTGCATAATGGACAAGCACTAATGTGCCATCTGCACGAAACTTATCCAGGTTTAGCTTTGTTGCACCTAGATGGTGCCAGGTTGCAAAGAACATGAGCTTCAGGGTCACACAGACCTGAGACTGCTGTGTGCACACTGCTCACTAATTGGGTGACTTTGGTAAAATTACTTCATCTTGCTGGGCCACATGTTTCTAATTTGAAAACAGAGAATCAACCTCAGTGGCTTGTGGTAAGGATTACATGGCACGGAACAGTGCCTGGCCCAGGTAATGAGATGATATTCAAACACAGAGTAGGTAGATCCCCAAAATGGCTCAATTATCTTCATCTTCTCTTTGCCACTGAGGGCTTTATGAGGTTTTAGAGCCCTGTGATAGTACTAGATCTGATTTTTTTCTTTTTTTTTTTAGACAGAGTCTCACTCTGTCATCAAGGCTAGAGTGCAGTGGCACAATTATGGCTCAATGAAGCCTCAACCACCCGGGTTCAAGTGATTCTCCCACCTCAGCCTCCCAAGCAGCTGGGACTGGATTTTTAAAAATCCCACATAGAGTGACAAAATCCAAAATAGTGATGTGCTCTAGATTTTTTTTTTTTTTAATTCAATCCTGAAATGGGCTTGGGCTTCAGTACTGAAGAATTTAGGTTGTGTTGGTTTCCATTGTCATCATTTACCCTGGGGCTGCTTCATTATGAAATGATTCAATAACCTGTTTTCATTTTTCCTACCCCACATTACCTCTAAGACTCCTGGCAGACGCTTTGTCTGACCTGGTTTATTTCCTCCCCAAACCCATGGTTTTCATCTGTGTCCACTTCCACACCTGCTCAGGCCACTTCTCTGTCAGTACTGCACTTCCCTGTCTTCTCCACATGGCCCATGAGGCTTCCCAGCTGCTGTTTCACACTGATCTCTCTTGCCTCTGGCCTCCCATGCCCTTTCCCGCCTGCTGGCCACTATCCTCTGTTCCTTTGCATTGTTCTCCAATTATTTACCGAGTGCAGAGATCTTAGTTCTGAGGGTGCAAACATTTTGGGTACAAAGACCACGACTAGCATTTAGCACAGAGTCTAGCACATGGTAGGGACTTGACAGATTAATATCTGAATTGATTACTTTGTATGTATTGGGGATTTTTCTTTTTTGAGACAGGCTCTGGCTGTGTCACCCAGGTTGTAGTGCAGAGGTGCGATCACAGCTCACTGCAGCTTTGACCTTCTTGGCTCAAATGATTCTCCCACCTTGGCCTCCGGAGTAGCTGGGATTACAGACATGTTCCACGACACCAGGCTAATTTTTAAAATATTTTTATAGAGACAGGGTCTTGCTGTGATGCCCAGGCTGGTCTCGAATTCCTGGATTCAAGTGATCCTTCCACCTTGGGCTCCCAAATTGCTGAGATTATAGGCATGAGCCACTGCACCTGTCCTGTATTGGGGATTTTCCTCCCACACTATCAAGAACTGTTCAGGTAATCTAGCAGGTATTTAGTGGGCTGAAGAGCATACAAGAACCTCAGCCTGGGTGGCCCAATTTATACCAGTTTGCTGGAGCAAGTAACATATTTGTGACTTCCCAGACAAATAAATACCCCATTTTCCATTATACTGAAATTGTATTGCAATGTGATTTTCCTCTACAACTTTCAGAAGATTTAGGAGCTCCTTATTTCAGCAAGTAGATGAATTGCTCTGCTTCCCAAGAGAGCTGCGGCCTCCAGGAGCAGCCATTTTTCTTCCAAAGCATTTCTCTGCCTTTGTTCATTGTGAGATTAAAAGAATATATTGAAAAGATTATTTTTTATTAACACTCTATGGTGTCTCTGATGAGGCTACCACATATAGTTTGAAGAATGACGATGGAAACTGTGAAATGATGGGCCATTAGAGCAGGGTCCTTTTTGCAGAAAAGGCAGCGTGAGGATTTGATGGTGTGAGACAGCATCCCACTCCTGTGTCCACTACTTGCTCAACCCCAAAACAGGTGCCACGAAGGAACAGAGGCAGCCACCCAGACAGATGAAAGGCACCATCTTCCAAAGAAACATTTCTTTTCCCTTTTTTGAAAAAAAATTGATACAAAATTTTTACGTACCTATAGAGTACATGTGAATATTTGCTGCATGCATAGAATATGTAATGATCAAGTCGGGGTGTTTGGGGTACCCATCGCCTTGAGTATTTATCATTTCTATGCATTGAGAACATCTCCAGTCCTCTCTTCTAGCTGTTTTGAAATATACAATACATTGTTGCTAACTATTGTCACCCTAGTCTGTTATGCAACATTGGAGCATATTTCTTCTATCTAACAGTATGTGTGTACCCACTAACCAACCCTTCTATATCCCCCAACATGTCCTTCCCACCTTCTGGTATCCATCATTTTTGTTTCCGTCTCTATGAGATCAACTTACTATTTGGCTATAAAAAAGAATGAAATCATGTCATTTGCAGCAACATGGATGGAACTGGAAGATCATGATGTTAAGTGAAAGAAGCCAGGCTCAGAAAGACAGATACCTCATGTTCTTATTCACATGTGAGAGATAAAAAAGAAACATTTCTGTTCACATAAATAGTTTTCACCTGGAGACTGACTATAGCCCTGCAGTTTGATTTCATCACATTTCACTGTGTTCTGTGCCACCAGGTTTGTTCCTTTCATCCTAGTCTGGACTTATTTCTCCAGTTTCTAACTTAGATTCATTGATGTAAAGTTATCATTCAAAAAGGGGCCATGAATTATCATGATGTGTAGGTCTCATACCACGGGTCAACTCCAGTTAATTCTTAAGAACTGTCTAATACGCTGGGTAGAGAAAGACTCATAGGTGTTCTCTGGGCCCAGAGGGAATAAATGTCAGGGGTAATTAGAAGTATCTGTTGGAAGAGGGAGGGGCTGGTGACTCTTGGGAAAAACATTTCTCTCTCATGCCAAAATCACTAACATTTCTGACTTAAATCTTTAAAACCAATTATTAATTTCCTTGCTCCTCATAGTGTATATATCATAGCATAGGTACAGTGCCCCAAATGAACATAACTGAAAGTGACCATCTTGTTTTAAAAATATTTATGTAAAACATTTTTGCCACATGGCCAGAAAAAAATTCTAAAAGTGCATAAGTTGTAAGATGAAAAGTAAAATTCTCCCTCCCTGTCCCTCCCGGTACCACCTCCTAGATCCTCTCTTCAAAGCTAATGTTAACCAGTCATTGAATATCCATCTTCAAAAATGCTGGAAGAAGATTCAATTACAAGTTTTCCCTCTGAGCCTCTTGCAAGTTGCTAGGAGCTGTGAAAATTTAACATATGGTTCCTGTCCTCAGGAAGCACACGATCTAGCTGATGAGAATAGCATGCGGAGGACGTGTGGCAGGAAGCACCCAGGGAGCACTGCGGAGGCATTTGAGCTGGGCTGAATCTGACGTCACTCTAGTGGCCATGTTGCCATAACAATTCTGTCTTCACCCTCAGATGTGCTGGCTTTCATGCAGGAGGCTAACCCCTTCTCCTGCTTGCTTTCTGCCAGAGGTCAATGAGGGGCAGCTGAGGCCGGAGGAGCACTACAGGGTGGAGGTGGGTGGGAGGGAGGGGATGTTACTGTGTTCCTAGACTTTGGGGGAAGACTCCATTGGTCCCTCAGAGGCTTCTGGCCAGTCTGTTTGGGGACAATTGCCTGAGATATGAGGCCTTTGGATTTAGAATATATTTGCAGGGTCCCTGAAATATCCATGAAAAGCATCACTCTAACATTAGCAGATGAGCTGGTTCTGCAGAACCCACCTCCTCCTGTCATGTGGAATTGGCCTCTTCCTTCCAGATACCTACTGCCAAGATTTCTGCTAGCTCCTGGTGGTGGCAGCTGTGCTCTGATTCTGGACCATTCTGGGAAGATTTTAGGTCTTGGCAGGCCCAATATTGTTCCTCTTCCAGGACAAGGAAGTTTCCAGGCCAAGGAAATTTCCAGGACAAAGAAATCTGCAGTCTTCACATCCTCACAGCAGCTACCTTGTAGTGCAGGAGACAGCTATTTAGCTGGTTCACACACAACCACCATGAGGATCTTCCTGGGCTGGTAAAGCTCAGAGGGACCAACACACACAAATACCAGAGAAAACAGAGTGCTGAGCTCAGCTCAGTTTCAGTTTTTTCCTCTTTTTTTCTTATTCTGTTTAACCAGCTGATAGGTCTGGAACTCCACCTTCTGAGAACAGTCTCCTTAGGCTTACAGAAGAGAAATGACTTCTATAAACACTTGCTTGCACAAGCTTGGTGGAGGCATATCATCAGGTCAGGAAAGGTACACCCTTAAGGCCAGCTTAGTAGAGTCCATCAGAGGAGTTTAACCTGGAGCTGGACTGTTTCCACTTCTAGGGCATTTGGTTTCTTGATTCATTAGGAATGAACAACATGCAAGGTTCAAAGGTTCTCTACCTCTTTACTACCGAAACAAACAAAATCCTCAGCAGTTCTGCCATAGTGCTTTAATAGAAATAAAATTTACACTGTCCTTGTGTTAAGTGTTAGAGGCTGTGTTAGTATAAATAGAGTTGAAGTCCTACTATGAAAACTTGTCAATATGGAGACAGAGACTTTGTCTTGTAGATGGTGTACCATGAAACATCCTCCTAGAACTCCCATCACTAGGAAGCTCCAGCTCTACTCAATAAGGTCATCTTTCTCCCTAGATGGAGCCAAGACTGATGCCTTCTGTGTAGAACACCCACCATCTCTCAAGAGCTGAGATTCTGTGAAGGTGAAGAAGAGGGAAGCCTGCAAAATCTAACTCCTGGTTGTCTATTAGAGAATGCTCTATGCACAGACAGTCAACCAAAGGGATATGAGATGGAAAATATTTTACATTATCCTCTGGCTCTGTATACATTCATGATCATCTAATAGCAAAATTTGTGTTGTTTATGTTGGCATGGCATTTCAGGAGTACTGAGCATAATAAGGTTACAGGATGACAAGCCGTATGTTCAACTGCCTTCTTGTCTTACAGGCATCTCCATTTCAATATCCAACACCGAACTCAGGATCTTTCTTAGGTCTTCAAACATGCCATACTTCTATTTGCCTCAGAGCATTTGCAAAAGATGTTTTACTTCCATGTTTATCCCTTATCCAGTTATTCCAACCTGTTCTTCAGATCTCTGATCAAAGATTGTTTACTAAGGGAGACTTTCTCTGACATCGCTAAGTCCAACTATCTTGCTAAAGTTCTCACAGCTCCCTGTACGTTTCCTACACAGTTCTTATCTCAGTTTTTAATAAGCATTGTATGATTATTTGATTATTATCTGTTTGCCTCAATAGACAGTAAATGTTTTCAGGGCAAGGTCATGTTTGTTTTAGTTCAACGAAATAATACTGACTGTTACATTCATCGATTCCATAAATCTTTCAAAGCATGGCTTCTCTAAAAGGTCGACCCTATGCTATGGCTTTTCCTACTACTCCCTAAGCAGGGGTGGCTGCATAGGATGATATATGAAGCTGAATTAAATGAATTGCTATGCAAATAAATGGATCTCATAATTTCTTGGAAATTTACACACACACACATGCACACAAACTGTGTTTAGATGGACTGAAAACTCTGCTAGCTTTTCTACAGTCTTCCCAATGAGCTTCACATGCTTGTAGTCACTTTATCTGACCAGACACATATATATGTCTCATCTTATGGTGAACCAAATAATTCTCTATCATGTTCCACATCTTCTGTCTCATTTAGCCATTCCAAAAGCAGGAAACACTGTTCAGGAATGCAGCAGGGTATAAATGTGCCTGTGGACCCATAAAAATTTACAGCCATGACTATAACATAATCAAACTGCATAGATTACTGTCACCAGGCCACTGTGTTATTACAGTCAACATTTTTTTCTATGACATTCAGTCTTTTCTAGTATTAAAAATTTCACAAAAGAATGAACTGCTTAATTTCCTTTGTAGGCTAGGGACAAGAGAAAGTAATCACGAGCCCTCAGCTTACTAGGAATATTATTATTACTTTTGAGTCTAGCAAAAATCCTGTCAATTCATATATACTTCTTTGTGATTAATTATACTGCTGGAGATTGTTTACTTAGGTTCAAGTCATTTTTTAAAAATGGCATTTCAGCTACCTGTGTAATGAGGGAGAAAAACACTGTTTTTCAAGCTTCTCTGATTATTGTTTGCTGAATATATAAATATGTGTTTGGTCACTTTCTTTGAGTTAAAAGGACGTCTAGTAGAATTATTCCCCTAATTTATGACACTCTTTCATGCTAATAGTAAGTTGATTATAAAATGAGGGCATAATGATTGGATTTTCTGTGAATTAATTTTACAAGTCAACTGGGTTGAACAATTCTACAGATAAAGAAGGATCATGACAGAGGTGTGAGTTGTCAGAGAGAGGCAGACATGAACAGCCCTAATGGTTATTCATGTGTACCTTCTGAGCTGCATTTATTCAATTTGCTTTTATGTGGTTCAAAGCAGCTTGACAGTTTGACCTCTCATTCTTGTTTTGGTTTTTATTCTCAGAGTGTATCTCTGTGCATGGAAGTTATGATGCTGGGGTATCTTTCTGAGGGCAATCACATGCACCAGAAGAAAAAGATGCTGAGCTGATAGGACTCTTGATAATGCTCTAATCATCCCTCCCTCTCCCCACCCCAGAGTAACTTAACTCTTTTGATGATGTACTATCCAAGGTACATAATTTTTTTCCAGGCCCCATGGAGCTGGCTTCATAGGATGAAGCTGAAATACACCAAGAAGTAAAGGAACAACTGGGTTTCATGACTTTAAAAGTCCAACATTGGGAAGAAGTAAGTAAAGGGAAATTTTTACTTTAACTTTTCTGCCCCAGATTTGGTTTTAGCCTCCCTGGGGAATAAAAATCCAGATAAGTGAGCCATAGATGTCAGTGAGCTTCTTGAAACTAGTGATGGAGTTCTGGAGCTGTGCTAAGGGTCATAAAAAGCCCGGTGGAAATTATGCCTTTGTTTCCATTAGCGCTGATTAGCTGACTAAAATATCAGGGTTCTGTAGTTTAGGTCAGTGTAGCATTGGCATCTCTGGTTGATCTTATGTACTTTTATGTATTGACCCCTTATCCTTTGGTCAATAAAAATTGTAAAACTATCTTTCTTGAAATTGATTTGATGGCCATATTTTTCAAAATGTAGGGTCCATATAGAGAAAATTCTCTAAAGAGGTTGTTGGTGGGGAATAGTTGTTGAATCCTTGATCCACAATATCTGCTCTGGTGATGAATGAGGTGAAATGTTCTTGAGACATGACCAGTCCAAAGACCACAGAGTTCTGGGCAGGTTGATTTTATTGAGGGTCAGCTACAGACAGCTGAGTATGTTTCAGACTGGACTTTGAACTCAGCCTCTTCCGTGGAGAAGCCAACCTGAGCATACTATCACTACATCTGCAAGCTGAAAGGCTCAAGGAGTGAGTTCTCGGGGAGAAGCACGGGGGTACTTTCAGATCCAGCTTTGTAGCTGTAACACAGCTGGTCTTCTTTCACCCATTAGAGCTCCAGCAGGCACTGCAGGCCTCTCTGCTTGACCTTCCCTTGGAAGCTAGAGTTGCCTGAGCAAACCTGCCCAGCACTTAGTGGGTGCATTTCTTAACTCTTAGGCTGCAGCTGAAGACCAATAGGATCGAGTTCATCCCTGGCAAATCATCAAGCTCATTTTTTATTTTAGTTGACTGCAAAAAAATAATTTAAGTTTAGAAAAATTTTGTTTATTAGTTTAATTTTTTATTTTTAAAATTGGATGCATGTCTATTTTTCATTTTTAGTTAAACTAAATAAATCAAAGCATTAGACACTTGGCTGTAAATCTGACAGGGATGCTAGATGGAAGTTGTATCCTGGTAAAATTACACTGAGAGACATTTTATCACCTGCAACTTTTGAAATTTTGAATATTAGCTGAATTCTATATAAATGCTGGAACATCATAATTTTCTCACTTGGGCTCCTTTTGTTTTAATTTAAATATAGAGAGAAGTAGAATAGGTGCTATGGCTTATGCCTGTAATCCCAAAACTTTGGGAGGCCAAGGAGGGTGGATCACCTGAGGTCAGGAGTTCAAGACCAGCTTGGCCAACATGGCAAGACCCTGTATCTACTAAAAATACAAAAACTAGCTGGATGTGATGGCACACACCTGTAATCCCAGCTACTTGGGAGGCTGAGACAGGAGAATCACTTGAACCCTGGAGGCAGAATTTGCAGTGTGCCAACTTCAGGCCACTGCACTCCAGCCTGGGTGACAGCGAGACTCTGTCTCAAAACAAACAAACAAACAAAAAACCCCAAAAAACTCCTTATATGTTTTTTAAATGAAAGGAAATACATATTAGTAAATAGATTCAAAAAATAGTATTAAAAAATACACATAAAGTTGGAGTCCTAGTTTCCTTCCTCAAACCCATTATAATCATTTTCTTCTCAGAGATAATTACTATCAGGAATTTGTAATACATTTTCCCAGTCCATTTAAAAATGTTTTAACTACTTTTATGTGGTATGGTTTTGAATGTATTTAAAGTTTTACATAAGCTACATCCTATTATACATTCTGTTTTATTAGGCTGGTGCCAAAGTGGTTGTACTTTTGCACCATCCTAATACAATTTACTTTCTATATTCTACCACATTCATTCATTTAATAAATACATATTTTCTGTCTACAGTGTTCTAGGTACTTTTCTAAGTATTAAGGCTACAGATGAACAAAACAGAAAAAATTAACCTGTCTTCACAGCATTTATCTAGTAATTGGAGAAAGATAGCCAAAGAAGGAAATCAAATATGTATTATGTCCGATGGTGAGAATATAAAGAAAATAAAACAGGAAAAGGAGAATGCAGAGGAATAGGCATAGGCATTTCTGGGAAAAATGAGATGAGTCCTGAGGATTTCAAAAGACGAAGGAGTGGCAAATCCCAGAGGGTTGCTTGGAAGGGAAAGGCTGACAGAGATGTGGGGGACTCACCTGGAGCAAGCAGCAGTGGGGGCTTCTTCCTGACTGGACCAGATGGGGATATTACTAAGATCTATTTCTGTTGATACAAAAGAACCTGCCTTACAAATGTGAGCATTCCATTCTGTAGAACATTCCATTTTGCATATATGCCACATTTTATTTATTTATTCTGTAATTGACACCATTAGGCTATGTTCCTTTATTTGTTTTTCTTACTGAAATATTGCTAAGAAAATTCTCGTTCAGTTCTCCTTGCATTCATGTGCAAGAAGTTTCCTATAGATAAGCCCAGAAATGGAACAGAACATTCTTTGTTATGTACACTTTCAACTTTATCAACACTGATAAATTACTCCCCAAAGTATCTGTGTGCATTCCCCCACCAATGTTTGAGTTAGCAAATGTAGAAGCAGTTCTGTTTTCTTACAGCCTTGCCAACACTAGATATCATGTGTCATTTTAGTTTTTGCCACTCAGATGGTTGCGAAGTACAATTTTATTGCTTTAATTCCACTTCTGTTTTTGCTAGTGATGTTAAGCATTTATTTGTTTATTGGCCATCATAATGATGCTTGCATAAACTGCCTTTCACATAATTTGTCTATTTTTACCTTCACATTGTTGGTTTACTGAATGATTTACTTGAATTTCTTATACATTCTGGATATGAAGCCTTTGTAATACACTCTGCAGATATCTTCTCCAAGTCTGTTCCTTATTATTTATCTTTGCCTGTGCTGTTTGTAAATGTAGTTGGTTTTTCATTTTGATACAGTCCAACCTACCAATCATTTATTTTAGAATGGAACTTTTCAATGTCTGAAGAAATTCTTCAATACTCCTGTATCACAAAGGTATTCTCAATCTGTCTCATCTATCTGTCTATTTATCATCTATCTATCTATCTATCTATCTATCTATCTATCTATCTATCTATCTATCATCTGTCTGTCTAATCTATCCATCCATTATTAAAGGTTGTATCTTCACATTGTAGTCTGTAGTGAATGCTGTGGAGCATAGCTCAGATTGTTTCTCAAGAACATTCTCCAACTACCAGAAGCATTGTCCTCTGACAGCTTGTAGCTCAGTTTCTTTTTCAAAATTACCCTTGGTCAAATTAAGCTGTTTTGCTGAAGATAGCTCTCTCCTCAGAGACAGCCCTGCATTCAATTACTACTTTGCACAGGAAGACAAGAGCCTGGCCCCTGAACTTTATTTGGAATTTTCTAAAGGCACAGTCCAACTTCAAACTCTCTATGAGACTAACTTAGTTAGGACTCTGCCACAATGTATCAAAGTTCAACTTTTCTCTCTGTGCAATTTTACTTCCTTCCCTCCTTTATGCTAATCACTCACCAATAAGCCAGCTGCATGCCAGTCTCCATCTTAGAGTCTGTTTTCCAGAGAACCTCATCTGTGACAGTTGACACTAGAAATAATCCTAGGAAACAGATTCTAAAGTAGATTTGGAGCTGGATCACCTACTAGCTGACTGGCAATAATGATGCATGTCATAGATGAAATAATGATAAACCCTGGCATGTGGCATCTTAAAACTTGGAATGGGGGAATTGAGAAGGCATACTGCCAGAAGAAAATGCACTGGTGGGTGCAATATCTCAAGTGATTGAGAGATTCTTAAGAAGTAGTAAGAGTTTATAAGGATTTGGGAATTAGATGGCTGTTGCTGGGAGCTACTGGTGCATTGGAGAAAGACACAAACAAAGCTGAGGACAATTAACCACCAATTTAAGGTTCTGTGATAGCCAGAGAATGTTCTCGGAGGTATATAAATAGATACCAGCTTCTGCAGCTATAGGGCAAAGAAAGTTGAGGATCAGTCCCAGGGCTAAGAATACGGATAGTAGAACTCCAAAGAAAGTTGAGTTCTCAGCCCTACAAAGTCGACTACACCAAGTTTAGGGCAGTGCTTGGGAAGGAGTGGGACTGTAAGACTTTTGAAAAGACTGAGTTAATGCACTCAAAAATCTTAAATTCTCCTAAACACTTCAGGCCAAATAAGTGGTCCATTTCTTGCTGTTAAGAGTTTATTGCTCCTTGTTTGTATTAAGATTATGCAGAGGTCTTCTTTGCAAGAAAACATTTGCCCTCCCTGAAGTCTCTCCTGCTTCCTGCCCTTAACTAGGGTTAAGTAATAACATAATCTAGACAGCGAGGTCTGAGCCTGCTAAGGAAAGAACAGGACTACACTAGGAAGAACTACAGAACCTGTCTAACATATTCCAATAGTGAGAGGTGACAGCGTGCTGGCAGTCCTCAGGGCCCTCGCTTGCTCTCGGCACCTCCTCTGCCTGGGCTCCCACTTTGGCGGCACTTGAGGAGCACTTCAGCCCACCACTGCACTGTGGGAGCCCCTTTCTGGGCTGGCCAAGGCTGCAGCCCACTCCCTCAGCTTGCAGGGAGGTGTGGAGGGAGAGGCGCCAGCGGGAACCGGGGCTGCCTGCAGCGCTTGCGGGCCAGCTGGAGTTCCTGGTGGGCGTGGGCTTGGCGGGCCCGCACTCGGAGCAGCCGGCCAGCCCTGCTGGCCCCGGGCAATGAGGGACTTAGCACCCGGGTTAGTGGCTGTGGGGGGTGTACTGGGTCCCCCAGCAGTGCCAGCCCACCGGCGCTGCGCTGGATTTCTCGCCAAGCTTTAGCTGCCTTCCCGCGGGGCAGGGCTCGGGACCTGCAGCCCACCATGCCTGAGCCTCCCACCCACTCCATGGGCTCCTGTGCGGCCCGAGCCTCCCCAACGAGCACCACCCCCTGCTCCAAGGTGCCCAGTCCCATCGACCACCCAAGGGCTGAGGAATGTGAGTGTACGGCGCAGGACTGGCAGGCAGCTCCACCTGCAGCCCTGGTGTGGGATCCACTAGGTGAAGCCAGCTGGGCTCCTAAGTCTGGTGGGGATGTGGAGAGTCTTTATATCTAGCTCAGGCATTGTAAACACACCAATCAGCACCCTGTGTCTAGCTGAAGGTTTGTGAGTGCACCAATCGACACTCTGTATCTAGCTGCTCTGGTGGGGCCTTGGAGAACCTTTATGTCTAGCTCAGGGATTGTAAATACACCAATCAGCACCCTGTGTTTAGCTCAAAGTTTGTGAATGCACCAATCGACACTGTATCTAGCTTCTCTGGTGGGGCCTTGGAGAACCTGTGTGTGGAAACTGTGTATCTAACTAATCTGATGGGGACGTGGAGAACCTTTGTATCTAGCTCAGGGATTGTAAACGCACCAATCAGCGCCCTGACAAAATAGGCCACTGGGCTCTACCAATCAGCAGGATGTGGGTGGGGCCAGATAAGAGAATAAAAGCAGGCTGCCCGAGCCAGCATTGGCAACCCGTTGGGGTCCCCTTCCACAGTGCGGAAGCTTTGTTCTTTCGGTCTTTGCAATAAATCTTGCTACTGCTCACTCTTTGGGTCCACGCTGCTTTTATGAGCTGTAACACTCACTGCGAAGATCTGCAGCTTCACTCCTGAGCCAGCGAGACCACGAACCCACCAGAAGGAAGAAACTCCGAGCTCATCTGAATATCAGAAGGGACAGACTCCAGATGCGCCACCTTAAGAGCTGTAACACTCACCGCGAGGGTCCGTGGCTTCATTGTTGAAGTCAGTGAGACCAAGAATCCACCAATTCCGGACACAATAGGGGACGGGAGAGTAAGTATTGCACTATAACATAGTCAGGGTTCTAGATCAAATAAGATAAAGTGTAAAGTTTGATAAGGGAGACTTTAGTGATATGGGAACAGTCATTCATGATACAAGTTTTCATACCCTGACAGGGACCCTGGGAGTCAGTACTAACATGCTTTTTAAATGGCTCTTGAAAACTTGGAAAAAGTGAGACCTCCACATTGCTAAGGTCTGAGTGTTTGTGTCCCTCCCAAATTCATATGTTGAACCTAGTCACCCATGTGATGGTGTTAGGAGGTAGAGCCTTTGGGCAGTGATTATTAGCTCACGGTGGCGGAGGCCTCTGGATGAGATTAATGCCCTCATAAAAGAGACCCTGGATAACTGCCTTGCCTTCACCAGGTGAAGACACAGTGAGAAGGCACCATCTATGAAACAGGAAATGGGGCCTCACCAGACACCAGATCTGCCAATGCCCTGATCTTGGACTTTCCAGTCCCCAGAACTAAGGAGAAATAAATTTCTGCTTTTTATAAGTTGCCCAGTCTGTGGTAGTTTGTTATCGTAGCCTGAATAGACTGAGACACACTCACGTGAAGCAGAAATTCCAGAATCATTTTAGGCAGTGGAAGAGGGGATTTAAAATCATAGGAAAACCATCCTGGCCAACATGGTGAAACCCCATGTCTACTAAAAATACAAAAAATTAGCTGGGTGTGGTGGCATGTGCCTGTAGTCCCAGTTACTCAGGAGGCTGAGGCAGGAGAATCACTTAAACCCAGGAGGCAGAGGTTGCAGTTAGCCGAGATCACACCACTGGACTCCAGCCTGGTGACAGAGTGAGACTCCATCTAAAATAAAAATAAAAAATCATAGGAAAGTGAGCCTGCTAGAGAGGATATACTACATAAACCTGGAAAAATATTATAAGAGGCTAAAAAACCCCCCAGCTGACTATGTTTTATGAGAGGGTCCACAGTACACTCCATTTAACAAAATGATGAGGTATAAACTGTTAAGGGGGTCAAAGTAATGCTGAGAAGCTCAGTGGTATCCTCTGTAGTCCAAGGCTGATATTAGAACAGGGGGCCTTTACAGGAATGGAGATTATATGATACCCAAGTAATTAAAGGTCAGGTGGTGGTGCAGAAACAAGAGGATGTAAACATAATGAATGATAATGCTACAAAATTTATAACATATGATTATTCCCAAGAGTGAACATCTCTTTTGTGAGAGTGACTAAACAGCCAGATAGACAGAATGATTCAGTTAGTTGGCATCAAACATCCATAAAAGACCACCTTCATATTCTATGACACAATGGATATAAAAATGGAATAGTCACTGTGACAGCTGCTCTAACACTCACCTAGGCTGATTTAACTGCTGCTGTTGCTTCTGAATGTCCAACTCTGAACAATGCAAATCAACAATAAGATGAGCTCTCAGTATGGCACCATCTTTCTAACAAAACACACAGCCTTTTGGTAAGGGGTGGATTACCTTGGACCTCTGCCTCCCTGAAGGGGCACTGATTTATCTTGAAGGGAACTGTGTTGTTTTGCCTTTCCTGCTTGCAGGCCTTCATATAGCACTATCATCTAAAGACTTGCAGGTTTACGTCATTGACACAGGATTCTGCATAAAATTATATCAAACTAAGAGATTAACTGTAACAAAAGGATTGCAGCAGTAGGCATGTGACATAAGATACACTTGTCCTATCACATACTACACTACCCAGAAGTCCCAGTCAGATAGAGTGACGGGATGGCTTTTACAGGTGTAACTGACAGGCCAGCTTGGAAACTATACCATTCAAGGATGGGCATGATGCTCCAGGACTCAGTAAATCGATGAATATAATTTGGTGCTGTGTCCCTTAAAGGAAAAACACATGGTCTAGAAACCAGGGAGTGGAAGTATGCATGACCCCACTTCTCTTCTATGAGCCCAAATTTGCCAATTTGGGCTTTTGATTCCTGCAGCTCTAGGCATTTTGGGCTATAGATCCTATTGCATGAAGACAGAACACTTCCACCAGGAAACACAGCAAAAACGTATAAACTTTGTTACTGCATCCTCCTGGTTATTTTGGGCCTCTTGAACCATGAGCCCTGTGGGCAAAGGAAGACATTGTTATTCTGGCAGAGTTAATTGATCTTGACTATCAGGAAGTGGGAGGGCTGCTGTTTTTCAGTGGAGGTTGGGGAGAATGTATTTGTCAGCTAGGTGATTCACTGGAGCATTTCTTGGTACTCCCTTGCCAATTTTATTCATAAATAGAAAAATGTAGGAGCCACAGTCTGAGAATGGCGTGGTCACCAGAAGCTCATGCCACTTAGAAATGAGGGTCTAGTTTATCCCACCAAGTAATACAAGCTAAGAGTAAAGGGATTGAGGAATGAGTAATAGAGGATGGAAACAATGAGTATTTTTCTGGCCATTAGCCCAGCTGCAGGAGCGGAAGCCTGTCTTACAAGTTTTCCCAAGCAAAGAAACCAGCCAGAATCCTAGAGGAGCTTTTACCATGTAGGTGAACTGAGCAAAGTAATTAGATCTGAGCAATACAAGGGGTGGACTGTAGTGAGGGCTATTCATTCAACCCAACCCAAATCTTCCTTTAAAGAAGCAAAGCACTTGTTTTTTAAGCTTCTGGGAGCTTTGCCTGATGAATTTTCAGAGCTGGATTCTTCCATAGGACTTTTCCTCCATCAAAGGATGCTGCCCCAAAAGTTTGCTCTCCTTCCTGGGGGGCTGCTTCTCCATTCAGGATGTCTCTGAAGAGACTTCACAGGTTTAAAGCTGAAACCTCTGCTGCACTTGTCACAGTTCAACTTCTCCTTTTGTCTACCTATTTCTCTTGCTTTGAAGTGCGTGCCCAAATAAACCTCCTGCATGCAAATCTGTTTTCTGGGGAACCTCGTCTACAACACGATCTTAATCTAGCATTTATTTTTGTGGGGGGTGTTGTAAGGATCTGGCATTAATTTTATTTCATGTAGAAAGTTTAGTGACCCAAAGCCATTTATTGAAAAATCTATCAAAAAGCACATTGAATTGTAATGTTAATAGTATTATATATAAAATTCTATATACATGCCTTTTGCCTTTCTTTTTTTGCCTTTGATTTTTAGTCTATTGATCTATTGTTTACTCCTATATTAATGTCACATTATTTTAATTACTACATATTTGTAATAAATATTGTTATTGATTAGGACAAGTCTCCTTTGTTCTTTTATTTTAGATTTATCTCAGGTATTCTTAGGTCATTATTATGCCATGTGAAATTTGAAATTCTAGTTTCAAGTTTTATAAAAACATTGGGTTTAAACTGTGAATGAATAGAATTTATAAATTGGTACAATAAAAACTGATAGCTTTTAATACTGAATATTCTCATCACTTAACATGTTACAAATATGTAGAGATATAGTTTCCTTTTATATTTTCCCTTTGGTTCTTCCTGTTTTTCTATTTTTGGATACTCCTACTTCTTTTAATATTACATTTCCATTAGTTAGTGATGCCATTTATTTTTCTTTCTTTCTGGATTCATTTTCTTTTTTGGGAATTCTACCCAAGATCTTCACCTTGGCTGTCTACCTCATGAAGACACACGGTGTACTTACCTTTCAGCCCAATATATTCTGGATATCCTGCTTCTTGCCCAATGGAAGATTGGCCAAATTATGGGGGATAATAAAGTCATGGCAGGCTTGTAGGATGATGGGATATAAAAGGTAACATAAGTTAGATTCACAGATCATGAAATGCCACATCATCCATCACTTTTTAGCAGCTGTATTGAATGTAAAAAGGTTATTACCTTGCATCCATCCTGGTTCCTGAATATTTTGCTGTATTCATGTATAGCAGCCCATTTTTGATTTTTCAAAAAGTATTTACTGAGCACAGAAAAATAGCATAAAACCAAATAGCTGTCACCTGCAGTAAAATAAAAGATTTCTCCAGAGATCCTAGTTTCCATGTAATTTTGGAGAAGCTAATATTGTTCAGAATTGATACGTATGGAGAAAACCATTTTCTACCTTTCTTTTTGATTTGGAAACAAAATCCTCAAAGGAGTGAACATCAGCACGTTAAACAGCTGGGCCAGGATTTGGTGGCAGGTATTGCCAGAAGCAAAACAAGATTTTTTTGTTTTTTCTTTTTTGCTACACTATCACAGAATTAACACATTTGGTGTTTTCAATCTGATTTTTAGTGTCAGATGATGAGGTAAATCTTGAGTCATTACTAAGGTGCTGAATCAGAAAATATCTTACTGCTATCTTCCTTGAGTTAAAGAACGCTCGGTTTTGAAATATATACATGGCTAGACCATGCACAGTGGTTCACATTTGTAATCCCAGCACTTTACGAGGCCGAGGCTGGTGGATCACTTGAGGTCAGGAGTTTGAGACCAGCCTGGCCAACATGGTGAAATCCCGTCTCTACAAAAAATATAAAAATTAGCCAGACCTGGTGGCTCACGCCTGTAATCCCAGCTACTTGGGAGGCTGAGGCAGGAGAATTGCTTGAACCCAGGAAGCAGAGGTTGTAGCGAGCCAAGATCTAACCACTGCACTCCAGCCTGGGTGGCAGAACAAGAATCTGTTACAAAAAAAGAAAGAAAGAAAGAAAGAAATATGTACACGGCTATGCAAATTCTGTCTTAAATGTTATTTTGAATTCCACTTGTGATTATGATGGAGCAAAAGGATTTGTACTTACATTCCCATCCAAAATCAACTAAAAAATTGGACACTATATGGTACAACTGTTTTCAGACATGTAATAGATGGCAGTTTAAGACTATGATTCCTGAAAGATGGGAAATAAAATCGGTGAGCTCTGCCATTTCTTGTCCCAAATGTATTCTTGGAATAAATTACGGGGCAGTAGCATAAAAAGGGGAACCAGTAGTCTTGCTGAATTGAAGATATGAAGATAGGAATTCAAGAACTTTGAAGTAGCCATAATTTTCAAGGAAGAGTACTCTAAAGGAGGGAGCTAAGCAGAGAAAGAGTTCCAGAAATGTGCACAGGTATCCCTTAAATATTTGAATCCATACCATTTTACACATGCTATAGGGCATGAGGATAGGTAAAGAATAACTCCTAAAGAAAGAACATTACTGAGGCACTGTGAGTTAACCTATTCTCAGAGTTTATGCATGGTTGGAAAGTAAATTCTTACTATGCAGGGTAGAGAGGCCTCACTAAGTGTATAGGGAATTTAGGAAAGACTCCAGATGATCATACCTTAATCATAAGACAAAATTTGCCCTATAGAGAAAAAGCTACTCTAGGCCCATCAGAAAAAAGAGATTAAAAACAATTATCAAAAAAACAAGTAATATTTAAATAATTTAACTGCTTACTACAATAAAGCCCAAAACTCTTCAAGAAAATACAATTGTATCCAAATTTCCTTCTGTGATAAAAAGGATATAATTTCCTTCTGCCTTTAATATTTTGATATTAGATATATTATGATTGTCCTTGGTTGATTGATAAGAGTATTTAAACTACAAACAAATCTTATAAACAAGTATTTCAGTAGTCTTTGAATGTGAGTATATTTTTTTAAATCTGAAAAGTGCACAATCATTAAAACATATTTTCCTTAACATTTTATTTGTAATTAAACTAGAAAGGCTGGACTTCTCTTTCAATTCTTTAGACTTTTTTAATCCTAAATTTGATAAAAAAGCTTTCACAATACTGTTGAGGTAACTAAAATTTGGAGAGGCTAAGCAAATCTATTCCTATAATGTTCTTTTTATAAAATGAAGAAGCAAATATTTATGCTAATATTGGCCATTTAGGAAAACCAAAGATACTTTAAGCATTAAAAAAAATCTTAATTGTTTTTCTTAGTTTTTAGTTTTTTAGTTTGGGGTCTGAATTAGATAAAGGCAAAATCAAAGAAGGGTTTCTAAAGGAGTTAAGATATGACGGAGTCCAAGTCACGAAGATCCAATGGCAAAAAATAGCTATAGGAAATATCTTTTAAAAAGTAATTTATAATGATTATCATGAAAGTTTGTTAAAATTATTTAGAATTGTGTCAAAAACATAGAGCATTACAAAATATTTGGTAATAAAAAGAACCTCTGCAATCTGGACCCAAAAAGCTTTGCAGGTTTGACTGAAAGAAAACGCTTTAATTTTCTTTAAAATTTAGAATTTTAGTTTAGATCTCTGCATATTAGCCATGTAACAATTTGCAGTAAAAAATTCACAAGCCTTTTTGCCTCATGAATAAACTCATCATATTTACTTACCTTTGCCAAAAATTTCAGCATATTTTGTTCATTTGAAAATTATCATGTGTAGGTATTCTATTCCCAGGAAAATCACGTTAACTTCTCCTTAGACCTAAAGCATTAAAATCCTAAGAGCTATGCTCTCCAATGACAATGAAATAAAATTAGAGATCATCACAGAAGAAAATCTGGAAAATTTACATACATGTGGAATTTAAACAATATGCTCCTAAATAATCACTTGACCAAAAAAGAAATCATAAGGGAAATTAGAAAATACTTTGAGATAAATTAAAATGAAAACACAAAATACCAAAACTTATTATATGCTGCTGTAACAGTGCTTAGGGTGAAATTTATAGCTGCAAATGCCTGTAAGTAAAGAAGAAAGATCTCAAATCAGTAACTCTCTACCTCAAGAATCTAGAAAAAGGAGAGATGACTAACCCCAAAGCAGGCAGAAGGAAGGTCATAATACAGATTAAAGACAAAATAAATGAAATAAAGAATTTATAAAAGAGGATTAAAAATAAATAAATGAAACCAAAAGTTAGTTCTTTGTAAAGATCAGTAAAATTGACAAACATTTAGATGGACTGACCCCCAAATGAGAGTAGAATGGGGAAGTCAAATCATTTAAATCAGGAATGAAAGAGAGGACATTGCCATACATCTCACAGAAATAAAAATAATTATGAGGCAATACCATCAAGATGTCTATGCCACTATTTAGATAATCTAGACAAAATGAATAAATTCCTACAAAAACATAAATTACAGGTGACCCAAGAAGAAATATTAATAGGAAATCTGAATAGACTTATAACAAATAAAGAGATTAAATCATCATAAATATCCCCCCACAGAGAAAAGCCCAGATTCAGATGACTTTGGTGAATTTTCCTAAACATTTAAAGGACAATTAACACAATCCTTCAAAAACACTTCAAAAAAATAGAAGAGCGTTTTAATTCCCCATTTTATAGGGCTGCTATAAACGTGTATTACTACATGTTGCACAGATGAAAACAACAGAAATTTGCTTTCTCATAATTCTTGAAGCCAGAAGTCCAAAATCAATGCGTCTACAGTGTGAAATGTAGCCTCAATGGGAGAAGCATTTTGCTTCTTCAGCTCCTGGTGGCTCCAGGCATTCCTTGGCTTTTGGCGACTCCGGTGTCTGCCTCTGTCTTTCCACAGTCTTCTCCCCTCTGCCTCTCTGTCTCAAATCTCCCTTTCCTTATATAAAAATACCAGTCATTGGATTTAAGGCCCACCCTAAACCTAGGGTGTCCTAGGACAATCTCATCTCAGGATCTTTAACTGATATGTGCAAAGCTCCTGTTTCCAAATAAGGTCACATTTATAGGTGCCAGGAGGTAGGACTCAGACACATCTATTGGGGAGCCACTATTCAACTCATTACAAAGAAGGAACATTTCCTGTTATTCTATGAGGCCAGCATTACCCTATATCAAAGCCAGGGAAATAGATCAGAAGAATAGATCACTACAGAACAATATGATATAGATGCAGAAATCCTCAAAAAAATACCAGCAAGTAAAATCTAGCAACATATATAAAAGATTATAGAACATGACCAAGTGGAATTTATCCAATAATTCAAGACTGGTTTAAAAATGCAAAAATCAGTATGTAATAGGCTATATTAAAAAACACATGATCACCTCAGTATATGCAGAAAAACATTTGACAAAACAAAACATCTTTCTGTCATAAAAGCACTCAACAAACTAGAAATAGGAGAGAACTTCCTCAATCTAGTAAAGCATATCTACACAGAGACTCACAGATAATATGATTCTTAACTGTGGAAAAGTGAAAACTTTCAAAAGTCAGGAACAAGATGATGATTTGTATTAAACACAGTATTAAACATCACTTATATTAAACATTGGACCAAAGGTAGTAGGCAGTATAATGGCCAGAAAAAGAAAAAAAAAAAGAATCCATATTTAAAAGGAAAAAAAAGTAAAACTATCTTTATTTGCAGATGACATGCTCTTGCATATAAAAAATCCCAAGGAATCCACTAGAAAACTATTAAAACTAATAAATGAGTTAAGCAAGTTTGCAGAATATAAACCCATATATGAAAATCAATTGTATTTCTACATAGTAACAATGAACAATTTAATTTATGATAGCATTCAAAAAGAATACAATATGAAGAATGAATTTAACAAAAGTAGAATATGTCCACACTGAAAATTATAAATCATTTTGAAAACATTCCATTTATACTAAAATAAAAAAAATCCTTTTTCATGGATTAAAAAACTTAATGTTGTTAAGATGGTAATACTCTCTAAATTCACCTCCCAGTTCAATGCAATACCTATTATGCCAGGTAACTTTTCTTAACAGAGATGAACATTTGGTTCCAATGGAACCAACCCAAATGCCCATCAATCAATGAGTGGATAAAGAAACTGTGGTATATATATGCAATGGAATACTACTCAGCCATAAAAAGGAATGGATTAATAGCATTTGCAGCAACCTGGATGAAATTAGAGACTATTATTCTAAGAGAAGTGACTCATGAATGGCAAACCAAACGTCATATATTCTCACTCATAAGTGGGAGCTAAGCTATGAGGATGCAGAGGCATAAGAATGACACAATGGACTTTGGAGACTCAGGGGGAAAGAATGGAAAGGGGGTGAGGGATAAAAGACTACAAATTAAGTGCAGTGTATACTGCTCGGGTGATGAGTGCACCAAAATCTCACAAATCACCACTAAAAAACTTACTCATTTAATCAAACACCACCTGTTCCTCAATCACCTATGGAAATACAAAGTGTTTTTAAAAATCATACAGAAATTTAGGGCAACCAGAATAACAACACACACACAAATCCTTGAGAAAGAACAAAGCTTGAGGACTCACACTTCTCACTTCAAAACTTGTTGCACAGCTATAATAGTCAAGACCCCGTGGTACTAGCATAAGGATAATCATACAGATCAACGGAATGTAATTTAGACTCCTGGAATAAACCCTTGCATTTATGACCAACTGATTTTTGACAAAGGTGTCATGGCCATTTAATGTGGACAGAACAGACTTTTATCAAGTGATTCTGGGGAAAATGGTTATCCACAAGCAAGAGAATGAACTTGGACCTCTCTGCCTTACACCAGACACAAAAATTACTCAAAATGCATCAAAGACCTAAATGTAAGTGCTAAAACTACAAAACTCATAGGAGAAAACATAAGTAAACTTTTGTCACTTTGAATTATGCAATGGTTTATTATATGTTACACCAAAAACACAAGAAACCAGAGAAAAAAATTGGGCTTAATTAAAATAAAAAACTTTTGTGCTTCAAACAATACAATCAAGAAAGTAAAACAATAACTCACAGAATGGGAGAAAATATTTGTACGTTATTTATCTGAGAAAACTCTAGTACTAGAAAATATAGGGAACTATTATAATTCAGCAATAAAAAAGACAACCCAATTTTAAATGGTCAAAGGATTTGAATAGCCTTTTCTCCAAAGAAGAAATACAAACTCCTAGTAAGCACATGAAAAGATGCTCAGCGTCATTAGGGAAATACAGATTAAAACCATATGGAGATACCATCTCATACTTACAAGGATGGTTAAAATGACAAAGATAACAACAAGTATTAGTGGAGACACAGAGACATTGTAATCCTTATACATGGCTAGCAGGAATGCAAAATGGTGTAGCCACTGTGGAAAAAGTCTGGCAGTTTTTCAAAAGGTTAAACACAGAGTTACCATATGGCCTAGCAAATCCATTCTTAACTCCATACCCAAAAGAAATGTAAATATTTTGTCCACACAAAAACCATTACACTAATGTTTATAGCAGCATGATTCATAATAGTCAAAAAATGGCAACAACCTAAATGTTCATCAATTAACACATGGATAAACAAAATGTGCTATATCAATACGATGAAATATTATTTGGCGTAAAGAGGAGAAATTAAATATTGACATGTGGTACAACATGAATAAACATTGAAAACGTCATGCTAAGTGAAAAAATCCAGTTACAAAGGCCACATACTGTGTTTGCTTTTTTATACAGAATAAAATACTAAAATACTTATACTGAGAATTAGACAAATCTATAGGTATAGAAAGTAAACTAGTGGTTGCCTAGGGCTGGGAGGAGGGAAATATGTGGAGTGACTGCTCATAGGTATGGGGTTTCTTTTTAGGGTGATGAGAATATTTTGAAATTAGATTTTGGTGATGATTGCATAATTCTGTGAATAAACACCACTGCATTGTAAAATTTTAAAAGGTGAATTGTGCAGTAAGTAAATGGGATCTCAATAAACTAGTTGTTTAAAAAGGCACAGGCTCTGCCCCTAGAGTTTGTGATTCAAGTTTGGGCAACACTGAGGCTAAGGTGATGTGTAAACTGTGGGAATTTTTGTGAGCTATTAATTATGCTATTGTGTCTTCAGAAGATTGATGTCAAAATGCAAATATAGTATCTCAGAAGAGGAAGATAATAAACACCATCCCACAGATATGAATTAAATTATGAGGTTCCTGTCCATCCTGTGGGCTCTGAGGGACTGAAAGCCAGTCATGAGCATTTTAGTGGAGAAAGTGGGAGAAATGGCTGACAATGGGGAGGTAGGAAGTGAAGAGACCTAGAAGGGAAATTTAGCAGGAGAAAGGGACTCCAGGAATACATAAGTACCTGAAGCTCACTGTTTGTGGACTAAGCCTGGCTATCTCTCTCAACTTAAGCATCAGGGGAAATAATGATAGTTAACATTTATTAAGCACTTATTTTGTAGCAGGAAATGTTCTATGTGCTTTATTGTGTACTAACTTGTCTTCTCCTTAGAAAACCCATGAACCTGATCCAATTATTATTTCAATATTATGAAAGAGGAAACTGAGTCTCAGAGGGATGATCATGTATCAAATCACGTAGCTAATACAGGGATCACTGGCGATGGCAGAGGGTCGAAGGAGAGGCTGCCAGCTGTCTTAACCCTGGCTTCTAGGGGCCATGTCAAGGCTGTGTGGTACTGCAGAGAAGTTGAGGAATGCAATGTGGTGGTGGACACAAGCATTAGACATGGATTTGGGCCATCTGGAATTTGAATTCTGACTCTGCTACATATTGACTGGGAGGTTGGGACATGTGACATCTCTAGATTAGAATTTCTTCATCTACACAAGGAAAAAATAGTATCTTTCCTGCCTTCCCCACTGCCTAATGATGAAATTTAAATTCAGATAATATGTCTCAAAAGCGTTAGGAACAATTTTTTAAATATAAAGTAAGGTAGTAGAATGCCAACAATAACAAATGTAAACAATAGCAGGGATCCAGCTTTTAGATATAATGATTCCTGAAGATTCCTGGATTGGTAAAGAGATCTGGCCAAGAAAATCTGACCAATCAATCCTTAGAGTGGAGAAGTGTTAACTGCAGTTAAGAATTGCAGTCTCTCAGGTTCTTCTATAGGCATCTGAGGAGTAGCTAAGCCCCATTTGAAGTAATTGATGATTAAATAAATTATATTCAGAAAATTATTAGATGTTTTATTGAAAAGATTGAGAGAAGACAAGTTAATTTGGAGTACACTCAGCCAATGGAGCTCTCATCTCTACCCCACATCAACGGCTGAGCAGATCTTTTAGGAGCCTGGCTGCGGCAGCAGCTGCTGCCTGGGTGAATGGGCTCCGACAAATTCACCCATCTCAATAGCTCAGTACAAATTGGAATGTTGCTCTTGAGTCAGTTGGGGTCCATTTTTTATGTCTGTGTTATATACAGTTAAATGGCAAGAGGAAAGAGGAGAAATGATTTGATTTTGATTTCAACTTTCTCTGATTAGGGGTTGCTGAAGGACTTTTTCTGAATGCACCATTAGGATAGCTGACAGATGTCTTCTTACCATTTGTACAGAAATTTAGAGAACTTAGCAAAGTGTGCTCAATGACTTTCTGGTAGATTTCGTAGCATCTGAATGTGATAATTTAACATTTGTTTAGTTAGGGTATCCTTGTTTTGAAATGGTGGTGAAAGAAGGCGCTGAGGCTCATTTTGAAGGAGAGTTGCTTTGGAATATGGTGACAAGCTGATAAACTAAAGGTCAGAACTGTGACCAGTTGATCATTAATTTGTTCTCGCTTCTGGGAGGACCAGATCCTACATATTTACAGCAGACCTTAATGCTGATGATTTGAGCAATGAAAAATGTCTGTGATTTTAGTTCTGCATGCAGAGGCTGTGATGTATAAGGGAAAAAAGTGCTGAGTTGGGAGCCTGGAACCTGGGTTCTTACTACCTTTTAAAGCCCAAATGAGCCTCTATACTCCTCTGCATCTCTGTCTTCCTAGCTGGTAGAATAAAAACTGAGAGAGAGAATTCTGGGCTTCTTAAGGAATTTTTTTTCCCAAAATTTTGTTTGTTTTTTTTTTTTTGTTTTGTTTTTAATTGGGCTTTTTATTTTCTGCCTGGGCTGAATTCATCAATCAACAGGTCAGTGTAATTGAAAATAATTTTAAGAAATAATTAAGAGAACACATTATTTCCTCAAGTAATGAAATAACTGTTTTGTTCTAATCACAGTGGATCCTCATATCTGTGAATAATGAGGGCGCTTAATAGCATTACTACTTTATATTAATCAAATATATCGTTACCTCAACAAACAAAGATGATGAATGGCCCCTGTCCCTGGAACCTTGCATCCTACACGTAATTTGTCACTCATGCTAGCTTTGTCACTGTTGAGAAGTGAATGTTTCTGTGTTCTTAGTCCTGCTTCTTCTCTTTTGAGGGACTCCTTACTAGGTCCTTCCCAAGGGAGGGATAATTACTGATTAGATTCTACATGTTCTGGACAGAGCTTAGAATATGCCTTGGATCTTGTTTTATTAGTTGGTTGGGTGGTTACTGTGAGTCAATGGTTGGAGCTTGTGTGAGGCCTTCTCTTCTGTTTTCCTAGGAGGGCCTGACCAGGTTGCTTTCTCTCTTTTTATTTCTTCTGAAGATAAAATTGAGCATCTAAGCTTGTTACCACAAAGCGGCCCCAATCTAGATCCCAAGAGAGAGTTCCTGGACCTCATGCAAGAAAGAATTCTAGGTGAGGCTATAGAGTAAAGTGAAAGCAAGTTTATTAGGAAGTAAAGGAATAAAAAATGGCTACTCCATAAGCATAGCAGCAGCCTGAACTGCTCGACTGAATATACTTATAGTTATTTCTTGATTATATGCTAAACAAACGGTGGATTATTCATGAGTTTTCCAAGAAAGGAGTGGGGGCTTTCTGGAACTGAGGGTCCCTCCCCTTTTAGACTATATAGGGTAACTTCTTGACATTGCCTTGGCATTTGTAAACTGTCATGGTGCTGGTGGGTGTGTCTTTTAGTATGCTAATATATTATAATGAACAGTGAGAACGACTAGAGGTCACTTTCATTGCCATCTTGGTTTTGGTAGGTTTTGGCAGGCTTCTTTACTGCGTCCTGTTTTATCAGCAAGGTCTTTGTGATCTCTATCTTGTGCTGATCTCCTACCTCATCCTTTGAGTAAGAATGCCTAACGTCCTGGGAATGCAGCCTGGTAGGGGTAGGTCTCAGCCTTATTTTACCCAGCCCCTATTCAAGATGGACTTACATCGTTTCAAATACCTCTAACAAACAGATTCATACTCCTTTGGTTTCTGGCTTTTTATCCTTCATAGGCCGAGCCCTTCCAGGCATACTCAAGATTCAATTTCAGAATATAAGAGTCCAACTTAGACTCAAGTACGTGACAGATACTCCAACTTGGCTTTCACCAAAAGGCTCTACTTTGGTTTGGCAGTATCAAATATTATCTCACTTATTAATAAATACTTGCTTTCCCATATGACTAGTCCTCCTTTCCTAGAGTCCCCTTGTGAGTTCCCAGGGACGGAGATGTGAGTAATATCTCAGGACTTGGATATTCTCGAGTCTCTAACATCCTTAGAATAAAATGAAACCTTTTTTTAGAACTCTTAACAGCAAGTGCTGCACACCTTGCTTGACAGACATACTTTTGCCTAAATTAAAATGGAAATCACTTTGACCTGGCACTCTCTTTATTCTCTTCTCTTCCAAACCATGCCTCTTACTGTTTTCGTGACCTTGGCCTTTAATGTCCTCATTTACAAAATAAAGAGGTTGAACTAAATCCTTTCCAGGTCACCTTCAATCCTCAACATTCTTTGATACATACTGAAAATGTCCCTCTGTGAGTTCAGAGCCTGCTTAGATACAGCATTCATTTTTATTTTTAATCTTTCCTCTAAATTCCGTTTTGAATCCAAACCTCTCTTCCTCCTTCTCTCTCTGCCTCTGTCTCTCTGTCTTTCTCAGCACATACACTTAAATATCAGTGAATTAAATACATTTTCTGTGAATGGAAAACTGGAAGAAAAAAACAGGGTAAAACAGGCCTCATCATATTTAGGAGGCCTTTTAAAAAGCAACTTCAAGCCAAATCTCCTGGTGTTAGAGGAAGCACATCAAGCAGCCTCCAATCTGCCTCATTTATAGCCTTTTCACATAACCCAGGGTATCACATTTTTTAAAGAATGAGCCGTGCTGCATTCTGAAAAGAGCTTAATGTTTCTGTGAATAACATAATTAAAAAGAAGATTCACATCAATGGCTTAATCTGGGCCATTGCTTTATGAAGAAGTTCAGAAAGAAGTATTTATTAAGGAGGCCTGTGGGGAGGATAGCTTGATAGTAAAATATAAAAATACAGCTTGTCTTTGGAACCAGAGGTTACACAATTGCAGAGGGCAGCTGCTGAGTCCAGCTGGAGGAAACAGCAGGCCAAATGGACAGAAGAAACATTGCATGGAGAAAAAAAGAGTGAAATACACAATTCAGTATCTCAGAATGAGTACATTAGCTACAACCTCCATACCTATATCGATGAAGAGGAGAGTTTGTTAGAGCCGTCAGCATCTGTAAAATAATAGAGCAACCAAGGGAATGGAAATTTAGCACCTGTTCCTATGTAGGTCTCTGGTACAAAGTTTCTTAGCTCTTCTGCAACTTTCAGCTAGGTAGTACAAATCTCATCTTACAGACAAGGAAATGGAAGCTTGAAGAGGTTATAGAAAGTTACCAATGTTACAAAATACATAAGATTTAACTTTTACGTGTCTGACCTCAAAGACTGATCTCTTGACATTATTCTACTTCCTCTACATTAGAGAGACAGCCTAGGTAGGAAGAGGTACTGCACTTTCTACTAGGCTAAGAGGAGTTAGAGAGCTTGATTATTCCAGGTCTACCTTTGTAATACAACACCTTCATAGAAGCTAAAAATAGAGCTGCCAAATAACAGGATTCTTCTTTCTGCTTAGCCATGGAGCTTTCAGAGATTAGAACTCTTTGTATTGTTTGTGCAGATACTCAATACCACCCTCATATACTTGAGGAAATATCCTTTGCTCTGACAAATCCTTCTATGGTTTCATTCTATAATCTCCGTTAAGTGCCTAGTGCTTGGTGTATTTTTGCTGTATCACCTCAGGTGAGAGAGTTGGGGGAAGGGCAGTGAGAAGTGGTGGAAAGCAAGCCAAACTGTTCACCAACTCTTATCATCATCCCAGAGAAGCATCTATTTCATGCACACATTGTTTGGTATACATTATTCATGGAATCACCCATGTAAAACAATGAGCTCTGAAACCCAAAATAATCATTTCTATTCACACATCAAATTTGTCTTCCAATTCTAATTATTATTTGGAGAACCTAAGGGAAGTAGAATGTTGGTGTTTCCCTAATTTTTCTTTGTACTACTGGGAGACCATTCTGTATGGGTCATTCATTTTTCTCCATGCCTAATGACAGAGGCACTAACTGCTCTCTTATTCTGAACTACCGTTTGGTGTTTGTATAGCAAAGAGCCTTGGAAAACTTGTGTCTTTCTCCAAAGCAGAGGGCAGGCGTGCTTGCTCTCTAGCAAAAGATATAGTCTCTTTCTAGAGCAAAGAAGAAATATGCATATGCCAATTGTAGAAGATTAAGTTTCCTTTCCTTTACTGCAAACCACTTTGTGTACAGGAATCTAGGCCCACTCATGTCATCCCTGTGGGACATGAGAGTAGGGGAAAAGTGCAAATATGCTGATGTTCATGCTGCTTGCTATACTATGAGTAAGAAAGTCCTTTGTCTCTGACTCAGGAATCTCGTGTCTTCTGCCAGCATCCATGAACTGCTAATGCTCTGTGGCAGGCTAACATGTTAACTTGCAAATAGGGTAAAATTTCAGACAGTTAACAATTATTGATGAGGTGCTATAAGGATGAGATGTTGACAGAGATACATAACTGAAAACAATCTTAACACTCTTCTCCCTTCACTTCAAAAAGGTAGGAGACTGGACAAGGAAATATTGTGATACGATAATTCCTATGACCTTTTAAAAATATGTCTCCCAGGGCCAGGTGCGGTGGCTCACGCCTGTAATCCCAGAATTTTGGGAGGCCGAGGTGGGCAGATCATGAGGTCAGGAGATAGAGACCAGCCTGGCTAACATGGTTAAACCCCGTCTCTACTGAAAATACAAAAAAAATTAGCCAGGTGTGGTGGCAGGTGCCTGTAGTCCCAGCTACTCGGGAGGCTGAGGCAGGAGAATGGTGTGAACCCAGGAGGCAGAGCTTGCAGTGATCCGAGATCCCGCCACTGCACTCCAGCCAGGGTGACAGAGCAATACTCCATCTCAAAAAAAAAAAAAAAAGTCTCCCAGAAACAAAAGTTTTAAAGATTTAGATTGCCTTCTGTTATGATTATTGCATTTGAAATGGGCTCTGTGTAGACTTAAAAAATCAGTTTGGCAATGTAAGTAAATTAAAGAAATTCTCTTGGGCTAAACTCTTACCTAAAGCCAAGTTTTATCTATTGTTTAGTAGGTATATATTGGTGTTTGTTTAACTGAATTAAACAAAGCACATTTTGCTTAATTCAATACACACATGGTACCTATGGCCAGTACATAATTAAATATTTACAAAATTTATCACTTTGATTGGGAGGGAAGCAACTAGTTTTTTAGATAGAAAAAAGAGGAAAAAACCAGTGGGCTATGAAAGGCTAGGAAAATATAAGTCTGAGAAAGGGCTTCAAGCACAAATGTGATTTAACCATAAAATAATCAAGTTTCCCAAAGAACACACAATTTCTCTGAACCATTCTTATCAATTAACAACAGGAAGAAGGGGATGATGCTACAAATGCACCATATCTACAAATGTGATATACATATGTATTCTTCATAATTGCAGAGTTAGATCTGGAAGTGTTATCTAGGCCTGTGGTTGTGATTGATAAGCTAGTGCCAAGCCAGCTGGCATTGCAGACCTTTAGTTTAGAACTGCAACTCTTCTTTGCACAGCCTTTCTGTTCTATTTGTAAATCTGCACCTTTGCTTGGAGTCTGACTGCTTGCACTTGGAGAGCATTTTTGCTAGTTTCATCCCCAGCAGGCAGCTAATACAATCCCAAATGGCCTCACTCTTCATAATCCTTCTAAGGCCTTCTGTATAGGTTAGGACTTATCACAAGAGCTTTACTTGATTTTAGCTGCTGTTTATTATTATTTTCATTGTCATTTATGCTAATGGATTCATTATTCTTCTCATTAATTTTTATGCTCAGGAACTGAGAATATCCCATCTGTCCAGACTGTTTTTTTAAACTTTATATATCACAAGTTATATATATATGTATATATGTATATATATATATATGCACACACACAAACATATATACATATATGTATACACACACATAAACTTTTCATATCACAAATTATATATATTTGTACAATAAAAATGCCTGGGTACCCATCAAACAGAGCAAGAAGTAAAATCTTGGAAGCCTTCCTCATGCTTTCTTCCAATAAGTACTCCTCCCTTCTCCCAAAGACAGTCAATATCTTGACTTCTCACACCAGAGATAAATTTGTCCTTTTTTGAACTTGAACTTGACATAAACGAAAGCAGACATTATACATTATTTTGTGTCTGGCCTCTTTGAATCATAATTATACTTATGAGATTTACCTTTGTTATTTCGTATAGTCATTGTTGGGTTACACATGCACACAGATACCCTCCACCATGTGTTATATATTCTACTGTTGATAGACTATTGGCTTGTTTATAATATTTGGCTATTCTGAATAATATTGCTATGAATAATTTTTTCACATGTATTTTGCAGCAAATGTGCATATCACTTTTTGGATCTAACTAAGTGAAGAGCTGGGTACCGTACATATGTGTGCTCACTTTAGTAGATACAAATGAATAGTTTTCTACAGAAGTTAATTGCCAACACCATATGGTAGTTGCACCTCCCGGTTGACACTCAATATTGTCAGTCTTTCAAATTTTCTTATGTCTAGGTAATACCACATTGTGATATTAATTTGCATTTATTTGGTGGTTAATAAGGCCTAGCATCTTTCTGTTTATTTGGAGGCCATTTGTAAATTCTTCTTTGTGAAGGGCCTGTTTAAAAAATGAATTGTTACTTTCATATTAATTTTTAAGAGTTTATTATAATTCTGGATTTGAGTCCTTTGACATAGGAAATGGAAATAGCTTTTCCCACTCTGAGTCTTGCCTTTTTATTCTTGGGATGGTGACTTGATGAGCAGAAGTTCCTAGTTTTAATGTGAAACAATCTATTAATTTATTCCTATAGTTAGTACTTGTTAGAGTCTTATTGTTTGGAGACTTTCCCCACTCCAAGGTCATGAAAGTATTCTTTATGTTATCTTCTGAAAGATTTCTGATTTAACTTTTCACATTTAATCTACATTTCACTTAATTTTTTTATTGAAGTAGAGTCAAGATTAATTTTTTCCCCATATAAAATTCCCCTTGGCAGAATCTCCTTTTTTAGAAACACTATTCTTCCCCCACTTGTCATAAATAAAGTGTCCATATGTGTGTTGATACATTGGCCTGTTTTCCCATCCCTGTGTCGGTACTGTTTAATTAATATAAACATACAGGTTTTAATATTCAGTAATGAAAATACTTCTTTGTTCATTAAAAAAGTTTTATTATTTTTGTCTGGGAGTGGTGGCTCATGCCTGTAATCCCAACACTTTCAGAGGCTAAGGCAGGCAGATCACTTGAGGTCAGGAGTTTGAGACCAGCCTGACCAACATGGGGAAACCTCGTCTCTATTAAAAATGCAAAAACTAGCTGGGCTTGGTGGTGCGTGCCTGTAGTTCCAGCTACTCGGGAGGCTGAGGTGGGAGAATCACTTGAACTCGGGAGTCAGAGGCTGCAGTGAGCCGAGATTTTGCCACTGCACTCCAGCCTGGGCGACAGATCGAGACTCCATCTCAAAAAAAAAAGTTTATTATTTTTGGCCTGTTGCACTTCTTTATGAATTTTGGGATCAATTTGTTGGTCTCCACAAACAAACAAACAACAACCCCAAACTGATTTTTATAATATTAAGTTTTCTAAATCCATATATGGCATATCCTTCCATTTACTTATTCCTTCTTTAACTTCTCTCAACAATATTTTTGTACATGAATACAGTGGTCATGTTTATTTAGGAAAAAATTATTGCCGGATATTTGGTGTTTCTTGATGCTAAGTTGTATCATCATTTTATAACTTTGTTTTTCAAAATTTGTTGTTATTGTATAGATATATCAGTGAGCTGTTAACACAATAGTGCTCCATAGTGAAACAAAACAAAACTTAGTGGCTTAAAAAACAATTTATTCTCATAGATCTGTGGTTCAGTTGGGGAAGCTCATCAAGGCTTAGCTGGGCAGCTTTGCTTCAAGCTACAGGTACAGCTAAGCCTGGTTGTTGTGACTATGTGACACATGCTTTTTCTGAGTCCTAGGGTAAAGTAATGTATTTTCATTGACATGGCAGACCCAAAAGATGGCAAGCTCAATTGTATAAGTGCATCTCAAACTTTTGGTTGCATCATTTCTCTAGTATTCCATTGACTATGTAAAATGGTCCAGCTCAAAGTCAAGGTGAAGGAAAGGTACTTCATCCATGAAACAGCTATAAATAGTCATGAATGTAGGGGAGGGTGAAGAATGAAGACGAGTAATTCATTTTACTATAATAGTGACACAATATGTCTTTCTATGTTGACCTCATGTCTAGCAACTTTGGTAAATTCATTTTAATAATTATAGTAGTTTGTGTGGGGGTGTATTTGGAATTATTGTGTATACAGTTGTGTTATTTACAAATAATGACAGCTTTAATTCTTCTTTCCCAATTCTTATATCTTTCATATTTGTCCTTGCTCTATTATACTGGCTAGGACCTCATACACAATGTTAAAAAAAAAGCAGTTATAGTAGGTATCCTTGCTCATTCTCCTTCTTACGGGCAAGTTTACACTATTACAAAATAACTATGATGTTTCACATTGGGTTTTGGTTGATGTTATTTATCAGATTAAGAAAGCCTATTTATTTATACTTTGATAAGATTTTTAAAACATTATTCATGGTTATTGAATTATGTCAACTGCCTATGCATCGATTGAAGTGACTATGATTTTCTGCCCTTTATTCCTTACAGGGGTCATTATTGACTTGTGAATATTATATTAAAATCCTTTTCCTAAAACAAACACATTTGGTCATATAATACATTGTCTCTCTTATATAACAATCGATTGTCTCCTAATGTTTGTTTACTATGTTTGCCTCTAAGTTCATAAGAGATTTTACCATGTTATGCCAAGGTATATGTTTTTCCTTGTGTTTTTCCTGCTTGGTGTTTGTAGCTTTTCCTGAATTTGCGGCTTGATATCTTTTATCAGTTTTAAAACATTTTTCATTATTAGCTCTTAAAATATTGGTGTCGTGCCATTCTCTCTTTCCTCTCTTTCTGGAACTCCAATTACAAGTTAGATCCTTTTTTCCTATGTTCTCTTGGTTTCTTACACTCTTTTCTGAATTTCCCATCCTTATAGCTATCTATTCTTCTGTCTGTCCATTTTTATAATGGCTTATATTCTCATTTATTACTGTTCTCTTTATATCTAATTTACTATTAATGCTCTTTATTGAGTTATTTCAGTTATAATAACTTCATTTTTAGAATTTAATTGGATTTCTTTAAAAGTTACCAGTTCACCTCTGAAACTTCCCATCTTTCATCTAATTTATTGAAGGTATAAATCACAGTTGCTTTGAAGAGTGTGTCTCTGATAACCTCCTATGGTATGTTTCTACTTTTTCTTTCACTTCTCTTTTTGTATTTGTCTTTGTTTGGTCAAGTTATCTAGTCTCCTGATAATGCTGATAATTTTTAATGAAATCCTGAAATAATTGTAGAGATAATTTGATGCTCTGGAAGATGTTGTCTTCCTCCAGCAAAAATTTATTTTTCCATCTAGAAGGCAGGTATGTATTGTTTTAATTCATCTAGGAACTGAATTGATTTAAAGCTCTTTATGAGATCTGCCCTATTTTTGCTCCATTACTACTTTTAGAGTATAAATATTCTGGCCTCTCAGCTGAAAACTTTGGTTGTTTACCAGAGACTATTCTACTGGAATTGCCAGATTTCACAGAAACAAACAAGAGTGAACAAAAGCCCAAACGATACAAAAAGAAAGCTCAATTAATTTTGAACTTTGAATTGCAAATGTTTATTAGGACATACTTATCCTGAAAAAGTATTTTTTTTCCTGAAATTCAAAGCTAACAGGCATCTGGTATTTTATCTGGAAACTCTATGTCAATTTCCCATCAGTCAATCCTGTAAGACTCTTGAAACTTCTTCCCAGGTTCTTCTCATCTACCAGTTTCTATTTAGTTTATAGTCATGCTTTGGAAATGGCAAAAACCTCAAGGGGAAATATGGTGCTGAATACTGTGTTCACCCTTAAGCTTCTTTTCTCTCTTGATCTTGATCCCTTAAGCCTTTACACAATAGCAGCTCTCTGATGACTTCCAGACAAGTTATTTTGTTCTAGAAATCAGCAATTAAAATAGACATCCTATGTTGTCCAGGATTCAAATTTTAGGTCTACTTATTAAAAATACAATTTTTGATTTGTATTAATAATGGTAGTTACAATAAGAGAAGATAATATATTGCACAAAATGTATGCCTGGTGACATTTCAATTATTTTACATGAATTGACTAATTGTCACAAATACTCTTTGAGGTAGATACTATTGTGTCCATTTTTCAGATTGAGTTTCTTAAGAACCTGTATGGGATGTCTGTTAAAAGCTAAGGAGCACAGGCACAAAATATATAGAAAACACCTACTGCTCTGAGTTAACATCTAACTTGGTGCCTAGTACGAAATAATCACCCTATAGGTAATAATGATCACTGGACAGTTTGCCACTAAGGTGGCACAAATCACATTGGTTATTTACACTTAATTGGCATTGGTAAAGTCTACCTCATTCAGAATTCCAGTCCTTAAATGTTATTCTACTTTTGTTGTTTCCCCAGACAATTTTGGAACTATGCTTTTCAAATCTTGTTTTAGTAGCAGTAGCCCAATAACCGAAGCACACAACAAATTTACAAGAAAAAAACAAACAACCCCATCAAAAAGTGATGGGGATAGAATAGACACTTCTCAAAAGAAGACATTTATGCAGCCAACAGACACATGAAAAAATGCTCATCATCACTGGCCATCAGAGAAATGCAAATCAAAACCACAATGATACCATCTCACACCAGTTAGAATGGTGATCATTAAAAAGTCAGAAAACAACAGGTGCTGGAGAGGATGTGGAGAAATAGAAACATTTTACACTGTTGGTGGGACTGTAAACTAGTTCAACCATTGTGGAAGACAGTGTGGTGATTCCTCAAGGATCCAGAACTAGAAATACCATTTGACCCAGCTATCCCATTACTGGGTATATACCCAAAGGATTATAAATCATGCTGCTATAAAGACACATGCACACGTATGTTTATTGCGGCACTATTCACAATAGCAAAGACTTGGAACCAACCCAAATGTCCAACAATGATAGACTGGATTAAGAAAATGTGGCACATATACACCATGGAATATTATGCAGCCATAAAAAAGGATGAGTTCATGTCCTTTGTAGGGACATGGATGAAGCTGGAAACCATCATTCTCAGCAAACTGTCACAAGGACAAGAAACCAAACACCACATGTTCTCACTCATAGGTGAGAATTGAACAATGAGAACACATGGACACAGGAAAGGGAACATCACACACTGGGGCCTGTCATGGGGTGGAGAGAAGAGGGAGGGATAGCATTAGGAGATATACCTAATGTAAATGAGGAGTTAATGGGTGCAGCACACCAGCATGGCACATCTATATATATGTAACAAACCTGTACATTGTGCACATGTACCCTAGAACTTAAAGTACAATAAAAAAAATAAATTTTAGAATAGGAAATAAAAAGAACAAAATGTAGATACAATCTACTAATTTTTGAGCAATGGCTTAGTAGTTTCCATGGTGACATGAATCTACAAATATAAATTCAAGTGAGGCAACTTTTACTTCATTTATCAGAAGAAAAAGCTAAAGAGAATTTTATTTTAAATTACCTGAATAATTATCTCGGTTATTTCCTTCATGTTGCATACATATCACTGATCGACTTATCTCCTACTATTCATCTTTGTATTTTAAAAAATCTAAAAATTTGCTGCGTGCATTTTAGAAGACTAAGTATCTTTAATTTAACATGAGATTATTATTATATCTTGATGTTAAAAAAGCTTTCTTGATAACTAAATAGTGACTTGGTTATGAAACTTGAAGAGAATTAAGCTCCCAGCAGTAAGATATTTTTCTACCAAAATTTTTGAAAGAGGAATATGAGTGCATTCGAGATTTTACATCTGCCCTATGGGAAAATCGATAATGGATTGTTTCTATATATTATGTGTCAAGCCTTGCCTATTGAGGGATATACAATAGGTATGCACTGGAGCATAATTTACAAAGTACGTTTACAAGGTATTTCCATAGTGCCCTAACCTATTACAGTTTCTGTCTTCTAATTTTCATGAGGCTTCGTTGTGCATCTTATTTTCTATTTAGTGAAGAAATTGAGTGATTGATTATAGATGATAAGTGAAAAATCAGTCAAATGTGGACAAGGCTGGCCTGATAAGACTGAAATGAAGTATGCTTTTGGTTGTGTAATAATTTCCAGCTGTGTTCTAGTTTAAGAAAATGTCCAACATGACACTCCTAGCTTAACTCAGTCACACATTTCATACAGGTAGTATTTTTCAGATGACACCAACTTAGAAGGGATTGCTAACACCTCAGAAGAAAAGATCAGAATTCAAAGTGACCTCAATAAATTGAAGAAACAGCATGAACCTGGCTAGCCAGAGGCCCTACAGGGAAAAATATCTAAGCTAGTATTCATCTTTCATTTATTTTTTCATTCATTCATAAAATATTAATTGAATGCCTACTATGTGCCAGCTACAAGCTGAATATTGTTTAACACAAATGCATTTTTAGTTTAGCAATCTACCCCCTCCTTCAATGCATGGCTGGACCCTTTCAGGAAATCAGTTCCTTCCAAAATTGTGTGCTCCTACATCATGCAAAATCAATAGATTTAAGAGAAAAAATACACATAGGTCAAAAAATATGACATCATACCATACATAGATATATATACTTCATATATACATATATACCCATTTATAGATAGATACACACACATATACACATACATCTCATTCTTTTTTAAAGGAGAGTCACTTTGGGGGGACAATGTAAGTCATATTTAGTGTTTAATTGCGGGTCTCTATAGGGTTATAATAAAAGTAATTTAAAATATTAAAAAAAAGTTATCTGCTAGTTGAAGAAGATTAGGGTGACACTCAACCCACTCAGTCATTTTTCCCCGTCTTCATTGTGCACTTGAAAGCATCTAGGGTCCTGAAGTTACCCATATTTTTTGAAAGAATTTCCACCCTCACTCCAACTTGATTATTCCAGAAATTTCAGCAATTTGGGGAAATGAGTTGAGGAAACAGCTAAGCCTTTTTTTTTTTTTTTTTTTTTTGGTGAGACGGAGTCTTGCTCTTGTTGTCCAGGCTAGAGTGTAGTGGCACAATCTTGGCTCACTGTAACCTCCGCCTCCCGGGTTCAAGCAATTCTCCTACTTCAGCCTCCTGAGTAGCTGGGATTACAGGCCCGCCCCCTCCCCCGGCCACCACGCCCGGCTAATTGTTGTACTTTTAGTAGAGACAGGCTTCTGCCATGTTAGCCAGGCTGGTCTCGAACTCCTGACCTCAGGTGATCTGCTTGCCTTGGCCTCCCAAAGGGCTGGGATTATAGGAGTGAGCCACTGCAGCAGACCGCAGCTAAGCTTTAAGATGTAAAGGAACTTATTATTGGTCCCATAACAGATAACTTCGATTTTTCTCCTAAACTTGAGAGTTTCCAGCTTTGGAACATTGAATCTGTACTTAGTTCTAGTGAGGGAAGTAGCCAAAAATCTATTACGAAGTCTTCAAATGAACTGCAATCCTCTTGAGGGCCCAGGCCATGTGCTTTTATTACTTGGCAGCATTGCCCTGCAGTGATGGCCATAGTGGCACTCATTTTTGTCAAGAACAGAGGAAGAGCTTGGAAGAGGATGAATTTACATGGCTCAATTATAGGAGCAATAAGTATGAATTCAGGAATTCTTATCAATGTATTATGTCACTGGTTCTCCAGTTAATCTCTAAAGGGTGTCGTGCAATCCCTGGACAGAAAACAAAATTTCTTTTATATTTATTTAAAATGTAGAAAACAGATGATACAAAAATCAAACAGAAAATAATACAGGTTTATAACCACAAAATGATGAATAGTTTCAAAAAACAGACAAAGAGACAGCATAGGTGAGAGTTTTTATAGGAACCGTGAAAAATGTTTGCATAGAAATCTACTTCTGAGGGGAATAGAGGCTGTATTTTTCAGAAAAAGAAAATATTGTACTGTCTAATAATACTTTACTTCTCTAAAAACATCTGTTGGCTCAATAGGAAGGAAAGAAAGTAGAGAAAGAGGAAGGCAGATAAAGGAAGAAAAGAGTCAGGGAAAATATTTAGAATCTGCAATGAGTCTCACAAAGGCAGCAAGCTGATAATGAGAAATCATCAAAGCAGAGGTGACTTGAAGTAATAGATGATTCAAGCAGGCTGGTTTCAGCTGAACATTGATATAATCAAAATAAGGGCGATATCGTGAACATCAGTAAGAGAAAAGCAATTGTGCTTTTTATCTAAAAAGTTGTCTGTGCATATAGGGCCTAAAATGCTGAGGGCAGAGCCATGTGTTTTAGGCAGTGTTTTCCAGAGAGGCAGAACTGACAGGAGATACAGAAAGATATATGAGAGGGGATTTATTAGGAGAATTGGCTTACTCAATTATGGAGGCTGAGGATCCCACATGATAGGTCATCTGCAATCTGGAGAACTATGGAAGCCAGTAGTGTGGTTCAGTCCAAGTCCAGAAGCCTCAGAGCTAAGGAAGCCAATGATGTAACTCCCGGTTTAAGGTCAAAAGCCCAAGAGCCAGGTGGACCACTGGAGTCCAAAGGCCAGAGAACCTGGAGTTCTGACATCCAAAGGCAGGAGAAGGGCATCCTGGCTCTGGAAGAGAGGGCAAGAATTCACCATTTCTCTACCTTTTTGTTTTATCTGGGCTCCCAGTTGATTGCATGATGCCTGTCCCCACTTAGGGCAGATCTCCAGTCATTTCACAACTTACAAGCCAATCTCTGGAAACATCTGCACAGACACACCTGGGGCAGCCTAATCGTTCAAATCAAAAGCAAAAGCGACTGGGCTTTTCTTTTAGCAGACGAGTAACAGGCTCAGCGCCTACTGAAATGTTAAGAATAAATAATGCTTTGACCAACTATCTGGGTATCCTTTAATCCAGTCAAGTTGACACCCCAAATCAACTATCATACTGTGGAACATTGAACGTATATCAAATATGATTGTGTCAGTTAGCCAATTACATTTTTATGAGGCAGTTTGTTGGTGATGAACATGGATTTGGAGCTAGAGAGACCTGGATATAAGACCCAGATTCCTGCATATGTCTTCTCATCTCTAAAATGGAAATAATATAAAGTTCATCTTATGGCTTTTTATTTATTTTTTAAGTATTGTAATTACAAACCAGAGTAACCAAAGCCACAAGCTTGTTTTTGAAAACAACATCCTGGGAAGCAAAGGCTGGATCTTTAACACCATATAGAGTGGGGTCCCTTTCTTTCTGCTGGTAATGGGGATATCAAAGTCAATATACCATCGTCCTTAAAAGACTTCTAGCAATAATGCAAGAGGTTATGACTGTACAAAACTTTTCATATTTAAAGTACACATGTTCTGAGGCATGCAAAAGCTAGATACAAATAAAAATGACAGATGTGTCAAAATAAAACAGTGGAGTCAAATCTGTGCTGAATTCTCCTTGTTTTTTTTTCATACTTTTCGATTTCTTACTCAACAGAGCATTTTAAAGTGAACTGCATCCAAACAGTACAATTTCAGTTCATAGAAGCCAAGAAAAATAACTCTAAAGAGCAAAGAGTTCCACCTCAAAAAGTAAAAAGCCACTTAGGGGAAAGAATAATTCTACTTGAAAAGCAGATTAAAATAAAAAATCAGAAACAAGGCCAAAACGTAAATTTATTTCCTCAGGCAAACTCTGTGGATACGTTTCATTTAACTTTCTCTTTCAGTAAAAAATGAAATTGGCCAAAGAGATTTGCTCTTACTCTTAACTGTAAGGACTATGATTTTAAATGGACATTTGCTATCATCTTTGAGGAATTCTGGCATGACTATTATTTATAAATGTTTCATTTAACAAATAAGGCATAGACAATTTCTTTTGTCTGCAATTGCTCCCTTTGCACCTACCTATAAGTTATAAGGGAAATGTTGATATTGTGTTTGCATCATTGGAGTCCTCCTCTCACTAAATAAGAGCATGGAAAGTCAAGAGTATTATTTTAAAAGGTTACAGTTCAAGAGCCCCTTCATTTCTCAGATTTGTTATTGGCATGAGCCAAGAACAATTCCTCCAGTTTCTCAGTATGAGACGGAAGAAATTGCTATTTAGCTTGTCTCTGTAGCCCAAGGTCATTTCCCAGACTGTGGTATCCAATTTGGATTGTTCTGTAAACAGCACAAATGTTAACCAAATAATAATTTATACAATGGCATGCATTAGGACAGATAAAAGAGAGAAAGCTGATGCCAAAGAAATAGCTACATAGCTGGTCATTGTATTTTCTTCTCTAACTCATTCTGGGAATATTAAAAAGTGGTTGGGAGTAATGTCCCAATGAAAAAATAAGTCTTTTGAGCAACGTGATTAGCTATCTTGTAATACAATATTCGAGTACACAAGGATAAACGTAGTTGGGTAAAATACATCTCACTGTCTTTTCCAAATGTTTTTTTCCCTAAGTGTGCTTTATCTTTGATATATTTCTACTACCTCCTGTTGCTTTCAAGTCACGATTTTTAAAGATTTCTGTTTACAAGCATCTGTTAGTTAAAGTAATGCTAACTGTAGTAACATGCGAACCCTCAAATTTTATCCTTAATACAAATTGATTGCTCCTTACATTCAGTTTAAAGTAGCTGTTCCTGATCTAGGCACCTTCCGTTTTGTGGCTCTCTGATCTTTATGTGGCTTCCAAAGTCCCTACAGAGGGGAAAGACCATGGAGAATCACATTTGGAAAGTTTCATTGGCCAGGCCTGAAAGAGGCACATATCATTTCAGCGCACATTCCATGGCTACAATTCAGTGGCACAGCACACACCGCTGTAAGGGAGATCAGGAAATATAGCCAAACTATTTGCCTAGGAGTTTAGGGGAAATGGACTGGTTTAACAGATATGTCAACACTGCCACCAAGCATTTCTAACTTGAGATGAGCTAGGAAAACTACATTTTAATTATTTGGGGAGGGTTTAAAAATTCCTGGCTGAATTAAAATGACAGATGAATTATTGTATTTTACCAATGCTCTCATAGGTTTCTAAGAACACATGTATTCCTAATCAAAGGAATTTACCAACAAGTAATGTCATGATTATTATGAGAGCTTAAGCTCACTTAGATAGGAAGCTGAATAATGTAGAAAAGTCAAATATTCTGAAACATACACAATTTCTTGAAAAACTCTTCTTGAATCAAAACCCAATGCACAGATGTTTCAGTAAAATATTAATAGATAGTTATGACTTTTAAAACCTTATAATTTTTATTACAAAACCTGTGTATCTAACTTCTAAGCCAGGCCCCTGACAGAAACAAATTTCATAACTTTCTCAAATTTCATAGCTTTCTCAAAGCAAAGATTCCATTTGCTTTGCAAACCATATTGCATTCTTAGGAGATAGTGTTGTAATGAACCACATTTAATAGTCTTATTCAGTGGAAAACATTTTCAAAATCATCACCTTTTTGAGTATCCAAAATGTTCTCTAGATTCAGAGAAATAAAAGAAAAAACATGCTATAAATATCTTCATTAAGCAAACACTATGCAGAATAAATGTGCTCTTTTCTTACCTCAGTGTAATTTTCAGTATTAAGAACAGTGATTATGTGGGAAAATTAAGGTTTTAGTTTCAAAGAAAATACATTTTCTTAACTCAAGGATGAGATTGATTTTTTCATATAGTAAGAATGTATTAGAAATAGATATTCATGCTAGTAAATATTAATGGCTATGATCACAGTTAATTGTTGTATGGTGTTTTATGTTATGGGACTGAATTATATTTTACTTAATTATTCCTCTTGTTAGGCATTTATTTTATTTTACTTTATTTAATTTTATTTTTCAAATAAGGACATTTAAAAAAATCCAATAGTTTTTGGTAACAGGTGGTTTTTTGGTTACACAGTTAAGTTCTTTAGTGGTGATTTCTGAGATTTTGGTGCACCTGTCACCTGAGCAGTGTACACTGTACCCAATATGTAATCTTTTATTTCTCACCCCCCACCCACCCTTCCCCCTAAGTCCTCAAAGTCCGTTATATCATTCTTATGCCTTTGCATCCTCATAGCTTAGCTCCCACTTATGAGTGAGAGCATACAATATTTAGTTTTCCATTCCTGAGTTACTTCACTTAGAATAATGGCCTCCAACTCCATCCAAGTTGGTGTGAAGTCTATTATTTCATTCAGTTTTATGGCTGAGTAGTATGTCATGGTATTTATACACCACATTTTCTTTATCCACTTGTTGGTTGGTGGACATTTAGGTTGGTTCCATATTTTTGCAATTGCAAATTGTGCTGCTATAAACATGTGTATGCCTGTGTTTTTTTCATGTAATGACTTATTTTCCTCTGGGTAGATATTGAGTACTAGAATTTCTGGATCAAATGGTAGTTTTTAGTTCTGTAATTTTTATAACTGCTTATGGAGTTGCCTTTAGCACAAGTTTACGGTTCAAGTATGCAAATTGCTTTTAAAAAAACTAATGGTGCTTACAAAATTTTCATTTGACATTTTTTTGGCTAGTTCTTCTTGTCTCTTCTCTTCATTCCAAATTTCTACTTCTTCTGTTTCCAGATCTCTTGGCTAAAAGACAGTGCATTTTCCTTCAGCAAATATACTGTAATCTAAAACATAGAAGTTAAAAAAAAAAGATTAGAAGAAAGGCAGAGCATATGTGATTCCTTTAGTTTCCCGCTTGGACGTGTATGTACTCCCAAAATTCATATGTTGAAATCCTCACTCCTAAAGTGATGGTGTTAGGAGAGGGGCCTTTGGGAGATGATGAGGTCATGCATGGGATTGGTGCCCTTTTAAAAGAGGCCTGAGAGAAACACCTCAATGCTTCCTCCATGTGAGGTTAAAATGAGAAGAAGGCTGTCTATAAGGAAGTAGGCCCTCACCAGACAAGAAATCTGCTGGCATCTTGATCTTGGACTTTCCAGCCTCCAGAACTGTGAACAACAAATCTCTGTTGTTTATAAGCCACATAGTCTATGGTCACGAGGCCTGCTTGTGGTTTCAATCGCTCCCAAATTACTGCTATTGAGCTTACCAGAATCTATTTCACATTTTGTTTTCCTTTAAAATAACAGTAATAAATCTCTCCTTGTAATTATTGCAATCCCATCTTTTTTGTCTATATGTGACATAGACCTGCAAATCTGCATTATGGTGGGAAGATCCATTGGAAAGTCACAGGAAGCATTTCTGGCTAGATTTTGGTTCTCAGGGTTTGTTTGAAAGCTGCTGGCTGCCTGAGAGAGAAGAAGGGGAAAGGAGGGTCGTGAAGGTCATGGCATGAAGAAAGCAGCAGTAGCAGTAATGAAGAAAGGACAGGGGGCACTTCTCCTAGGACCCCCGGTATTTTAGGGGTAAGTGGTGAAATCCTACCCACAAGCAGAAAATTTTCAGAGAGCAGCTCTGCAGAGGGTGTAATCACATGTCTGAAAAAAGAGGCCAACCTGCCCTTGTCCACTTCTGGCTATGAGTTGATAAAATGGATTGCCAATACTTTGAATGATAACTGGGATTCTGCAGAATCTATAGCTTGTCATATCTGCAGATTAAATACATGCATTTTTTTCTGTTGAGTAAACCTCAGTCTGTATCAATATCTTGAGCATGCGTTTAATTGAGGAACATTAGTCTTCCCATGGTAGTATGTTTTGTCCTAATTGAGATGAGATATACTCAAACTGTGACCATGTGTTAGAAGTGATCCATCGTGTTATACATATATCAAACAAAATCCCAATGACTGAGGTACCATTAGCATAAAATAAGCAGCCCATCTGTAGGTATTTTGGAATGCATACTTTTCACTCATTTGCTTATTCATTTATTCATTTAATTATTTTTTTCAGATTCTAGTCATGTGTCATTTTTTTTTTCTGTTGAGAACTTTGCCAGGTTAAAAAAAAAAAAGAAGAAGTGGCCCTTGAAGTAGGTTCAGTCTAATGGCTTTGAGACACTTATTGACCCTTAGAGTCAATCATTAAAAAGTATTGTAGCCAGAATATATTTGTGAGCATGTGAAGTACTAGTGCAGAAGGAATTTCAGTGTCTCTCTTACAGCAAATAGTGTGCTGTGCTCCTCTAGCACCAAAAACTTCCACAAGGGAGGGTATGTTAGCTTGGATATCTGACCTTCCAAACCTCAAGTTGAAATCTGATCCCCAGGTTTGGAGGTGGGGCCTAATGGGGGGTGTTGGGATCATAGGGGCAAATCCCTCATGAATGCCTTGGTAATGAGTTGAGCTCTTGTTCTGTTAGTTCCCATGAGGGATGATTGTTAAACAGAGCTTGGCACCTCCCTCCACACCCATCTTTCTATTCTCTTACTATGTGATCTCTGCCCACACTGACTTCCCTTTGCCTTCTGCTATAAGCGGAAGCAGCCTGAGGCCACCACTGGAAGCAGATGCCAGCACCCATGCTTCTTGTACAGCCTGCAGAGTCATGAGCTACATAAACCTCCTTTCCTTATAAATTGCCCAACCCCACGTATACCTTTATAGCAATGCAAAACAGAGGGTATACCATGAGTGTTGTCAGGTCTCAGTGACTCATGTGATCTAGTCAATTTTGGATTTCCAGAGAGAACTTTTATTTTAAAAAAAGAAAAGTACCATTGAAAATAGATGGTAATGCTATATATTACTGTAATGTAAAACTAAGCAAGTATTTTTACAATTGCAAAGTGTCCTTAAATTCAATAAATTTACAATTAATGTAGTGAGTGTGTTTATTGAGGCAAACACTCATAATGCTATTTTCAAAATAACATGAAAGGAGAGTCACAACTGATTCAGCAAAATATGCCAGTTACCAAAGGACTTGTTTCCCATTCTAAATAGGTTCATTAGAAAGTCCTGAATTTTAATGGGTTTTGGTATTTGATAGCCTTTGACCAAATAGAACCCCCTTGTACAGTGTATAGTGACATTTCTTTCATACAGAGAGATTTTTTAAAATAATAAGAAAATGGCTCTGTGACTTAAAGTAAATATTAGAGCAACTCACTTTTCATTCTTGTCTGATCATTGATAGTATTAGCAAGCCATCCCTCCTGCTCCATGTGATACATCCAACAACACAGGGAAGTGTTCTGCAACAGCCACTCAGTCCACACAATTTTAATTCAACATTGAGTGTCATAGACCTTGTTGCTCTCAATTAATGTCTCTCCTTTTAATTTTGCTTTCATGATTGGTCTGAAACTCAGTACTACTTAATTACCATGATCTTTGGTTTCCCTTCAAGATTTCAATTTTAGATTTCCCTGTGAATTTGCCTCCTTTGGCCACCTCAGGCTAAGTTCATTTCCATCTGAACTTCTCTACCTCAGAAAGAACCTCTCTTTACTACCTTCTCATATTTCTCATTCTGTCGGCAGATTCTGGGCAAAATTATTCCTTTTACAGCATAATTTCACATAGCTAGTGTGTGGAACATTACCTGTTTCATTTGCCTTAGGAATTTTAGGTTTTTCTAACTATGGAAATAAAAAAATGAGTTAATTAAGTGATATTTAAAATACAATTATTTTAAAAAAGGAGAAAACATTAGGACTTGTAACTTTAGGACAGAAGCTTGATGAACATGGAAGACCACCATGATTTTTCAGGATACAATGGCCCTGAAGTATATGTCTCTTGAAGTTCTTAGATAACTCCAATGTAAACCAACATACTGTGTCTGATTATTTCCCAGGTACATTAGGGCTCTGAGTAAATTACCTTCCACACAAGAAGTAAAATTATTGCAAAACTGTGACCTCTGGTTGCTCATGCTGGGCTATTTCTTGTTGCTATCAAGGAAGTTACATCAAATATATGTCAAAGTTACTGGATTGAGAGGAATTGGTATGAAATACGATCTGAAGACCATGAGGGATTTATCAATGTCTTCACATTACCTCAATCTTTTGTGAGCTCTTGCAGGTCAAGAGATGGAGGCAGGGGAAATTATAGCTGCATGGTCACAGGTATCATTACTCCTCCTTCCTCTGCACACAATGGGTCTCCTTGGCAACACATTTTCTCTCTTGCCTTTGAAAACTGTTATAAAGTAGAAACAATTTGGGTTGTTTTAGCAATGAAGCTGACTGAAACCAAGGCCAGGAAATAATTGTTTTTCTCCCCAGTAGAAAAAGAGCTCTTCCATGAATATAAGTTAGTCATGAGTTAGGCATTTTACTCATACTTGATGCATCCTGTGTTTTCACAGGACATTTATGCTGGCATCCCATAAACTGGGTTTGAATATACTTTGGAAACCCAAGTGACAGTTGCCAGGAAACCCAAGTGACTGCTGCCAGGAAAAGAACAATTCAAGATTCATTATAAGAACCAATTCTAGGGGAGAGAAAAATCAAAAATTGGGCATGGTCCATTTTCTGCCTTGTTTCCTGTTAAATGGAAGGGACCACAGTCTTGTTAATTACCGATCAGAAAATGGTACAGAGCAGAGATGCAATTATTTAACACAAATTTACTGAGACTATGTAAATATTAAACTTGAAATTACTGATAAAAAATGTAGTGTGTCAACTAAAGATTTTTTTTGCAATCTTGAAAGTAAAAAGAGGCAATGTATTTAAATAGATGAGGACCATGCACCTCATTCCTTCCAGCTCTGAGTACAAATGAGGTAACATTAGTATCTCCCTGGCCTCTGGATCCACCTAGTAATATCGTATCTTTCACATAATTTAAAATAACATAAAATTACCGCTGAGAGTCTCTGGGGATGTCACATATGAGAGCATGAAAGTGTTGTAATCCATGTTCTGCTTTAACCCTTTGGAGATGCCCATTTCTCTCCACAACCCATGAGGGCATCCCACAACTATTAATACTCTATCTGGCAGTTCTTGCCCTGAGAATGCTGATGTCTATAACAAGGATTTTATTTCTTGATGCTCCAAATAGCCCTGTATATATTGAGGTCCTCCATGCACTGAAAGATGAGAAGGCCCCCACATCTCACAGAATCCCTATGTGTACAGTTCCTTCAGATTCTGCCTATAGGCTTGCTTGCATAGACTCAGGCATAAATCCATAAGGCTTGGCAAGACTGGTAAAATTTTAAGCATGACATCATGCTTCAACTTCCTAATCTCTTCCCTCCAGTCACTTATATGCAACAGCTCATCCTTCATTTCCAGTTCTAGCCCTTTGACTCCATTAGAAATTCTTTTATTCTTAAAATAAACCCTTAGGAAAATTTGAATAATGCAAACCAGCAGTTCCAAAGGTGTAGTCCATGTACCTCTGTTGCGGGGTGGAGGGGGTCCCTGAAACCCTTTTAGGTGGTCCATGAAGCCAAAAATAATTTTATAGACAGAAGACCTTTCATTTACAGTGTTCCTAGATTGCCAGAAATCTAGGAATGTATTATCAACATGAAGTGAGCACTCTTGAGGTCTCCACCCATATTAATCCCTCTGAAAACTGAAAAACAGCAGGATTTGCCGGAGCTAAAAGAGCTCCATGACTCCATAAGAAGTCCGGTGCTGAAGCTTAAGAGACTTTGGTTTCATGCAGGGCAGGGTGACTACCCTGTATTGCAGGGCAGAAAAAAATCCTCTGTGATAAGAGATAGAGCCGGTACTCTGTGAGACATCTGCCTGTGCTGCCCATGAAGTGAGACCTCATGGTCCCTGCCAAGTGGGTCCTCACTACACTGCCCAGCCCTTTTAGCCAGAGCTGGCTGGCCCAAACTGAACCAGCTAGAAATTGTCCTTTAGTAACTTGGAAGGAGGACAAAGAGGATCTAGCAAGTGTGCACACATGACTACATTGACTATATTTGTCATGTATAACAGCAGTAAAGAATGTTGGTTTTTAGAAAGAGAGAGAAGCCTGAGACAGGCACAGAGTAAAGCAGAGACAAGTGACCATGCAGCCCCAGAAAGTGAGCAGCAAGAGAGTACCTGGGCACCTTCAGTGTGGGGTACTCTCCAGGTGCTTGTTTCAGGCTGTCATGAAGACAGTTTCATTCCCAGTTCTTTCATTCCATAAAGCTTCCCTTTCTACAAAAATAAATTTCCTGTTTTAATTTAAACCAACTTGAGTAAGTTATGTTCCTTAAAAAGCAAACAATTCCTGATGAAGTTAGAAATTGATCAGAAAGGGCTGCTACCAGCCCACATGACACCACTGAGTTTTTAAAAAGCATTTTTTTGTTCCTCAAATAAAATATATTTCAAGTCACTATATCATTTATATAACAATTGTATAAAGTATACATTATAACATACATAATTTACATAACTGTTCTATAAATTATATATAATAATTAACTATGTAATAATAATAAATAGTCATGTATCTGCATTAGTAGAAAGCACCTGTGTGTAACAGGTCATTTTTTTTCTTCCAGTTTTTCTTCAAATTCATGAGATGTGGTTGATATGGAGGTAGAGGATAAATTTATATCTTGCCCTGTTGGTGACATACCTGTACTTGTAGTTTGCTGAAAGTAATAGCTCTGATTACTCTTCTCTTTTTTTCTGGTATTCCATCAAAATTTTCAATATTCCATTTAATGATACAGAATAGTGTTATTATAGTTTCTCTACTAACAGCTCCGGTTTTCTTTAATCCTGACATCTGTGATGAAATAATACAGCGTGAAGCAGGTCACTGCGCACTGAATACCAACTTCTCTGAGTCTAGTGAGACAGAAGACCCACAAACACAAGTTACATGAAGCGAGTTTATCACTTGCAGATAGGCAGCAACGGACAAAAGAAGCCTTGGATTCATTTCAAAGAGGTTCCTCAAAGTTCAAGAAAGCTGCCTGGGGCAGATGGAATATCAACTCTGCATGCCTCTCTTGAACAGCAGCTGAGGGCCTGGAAAGCAGTCACCCTAGGTTTCACATCCTGGGGCCACTTGGTTCAATGCACTAAGACGTTAAAGCATAGTAAGGCAGGGCGGTGAGGACCCTCTGCTTCTGGGGCTGGGGACCTGCAACAGAGTCTGGGCTGTTCTAGCCAGTTCTCCACTTGTCTTGGCTATTACATTCCAAGCACATTCTACAATTATTCTTGAGAACGACACATGAGAACCTAGGGGGTGGGACGGTGGAGGACAGAACGTGAGTCCATCCAAGGCCACCAAGGGAACTGTCCTGCATATAGCAGTTAGTACGTTATCTTAAACTGTGTAACATTTCAATACAATATGCATCTAGAAGTTTTTTAAATCTGAATGAAGTTATATTTTAAACAATGAATCCTGGAAGCAAATAATGTTGCACTTTAGATGCCAAATCATTACAGAGTAATTCTTAATATGAATACATAGAACACTTTAATAATAATAATAAATTTTATTGCATACTGGCTTATGTCATAAAATTACTTATATATTTAATTTTAAAATTCAGCAATGTGATTATAGTACAATTAAATAAAGGAGTATATGAGCTACAATATGAAATATCAAACATAGCCACTGTGCTAAAAATAATAGGGGCTTAAAATTTTTTTAGAATATGGTGGTTAATGATAAGTACATTAATTTGAAATACGATCTCCTTGTTTAGAAGATTATTTTAGATGTTGTTAAATCAACAATGTCTTGATTATTAAACAGATATAGATGTGTATATATATCATGTTAGAACAATGCACTGTATTTCCATCTGCCTAAAACTTGGTATAACACACTGACTTCATTAGAAAGAAGCACTTTATTGGCATGATAATTTTTGAATTAAAAACATAATAAAATTTTTTATATAAAACCTGAAAATATTATCAATGTGTACTTTGTAAATTGCAATTCCCAACATAATTCTTTGACTTCATACTTAAATGGGTGATTTAAAAACCAAGGAAATAAACAGGCCAAAAAGTATCAGAAATGTTAGTAATTCACAAATACCATGAAAAAATATTGAGTGTATAATAGAGTTCTGGGAACAACTTTACATTCTCTATTCAAGGAAGAACTCTCCAAGGTGGTGATGATGTTTAAGCTGAGCTAATGCAGAAGTCCTTAGGTGAGAATTACTCGGAATGTTTCAGAAACAGAAATAAGGTCAATGAAGCAGGAACATAGTGAAAGAATGGGAGAAGGAAGAAACAGAGAAGAGGACAAGGTGATGTCCTTGGCCAGGGAGGGCCTTAAATGCCAAAGTGGGGAGACTGGATTCTGTTTCAGGGTTTATGGGACATAACTAGAGAATTATAAGCAGCAATGTCCAGGCCTGATACATATTTTGAAAAGACACTTTGGCTGCTCTGGTGGTGGATAGATGGGGATGGAAGAACAGTGGAAGCTAAGGAGATCAGTCATCACTATAGAAATTCAGATGAGCAATGATGGCGTCTTGGATTAAGGTAGTAATATGGAGAAATATCAAAGAAAGGGGAGTTGGGAATTATTTGAAGGTAGAGTGAAAAGACTTGTGTATATAGTGATTTGGAAAGAGGGAAAAAAGTGATTACTAGGTTTGAGGCATGGACAACTGGGCAGTTCATGTTCTTATTGACTGAGACTGGGAAACTGAGAAGGAGTTGCTTAGGAATATAGAGAATCAGGAATTCTGTTTGGGGCACTTCATGTTTGAAGTATCTGGGAAACAAATATGTATAGATATATTAAGTAGGCAGTTGAATACATACATATGAAATCCAGGGCTAATGCTAGACACAGATAAATTTTGAAGTCATTGGCATACAAGAGATATGGCCTGCATGAGAGTGTTCAGATGTGCAAGGAAGGCGCAGGGACATTGAACTGAGATGTGTTAAATTAGAGGGTAAAGAGAGGATGATAAATCAGTAAGGAACAGGCAGCTTGGTGGCTCAACCGGGAAGGTGGAGCCAGGGAAGATATGAGAAAAGAAAATCTCTTAAGTAGTAGTTTGTGATCAACTTTACTGAATGCCGATGAGTGAATAAGTACAATGCGAGTTGGGATGGGACCCTTGGATTTGGCAACATGATGGTTTCTCAGTTTCCTTGATAGAAGCAGTATCAGTGGAGTGGTAAGGACAGAAATCCAGCTCCGGTGCTCTGTAGCTAGTTCAGGATTCTATGCTATGGCCCCATTCATGCATCAGGTTGCTGTGAAAGTAATTGCAAGTTTTGCCATTAAAAATAATTAAAAGTAATGGTAAAAACTGCAATGACTTTTGCACCAGGTAATGTTCTGGTTGGGAGAGAATAGCATTATGATGACTGGAAAGAGACTGTCTGGAGAAATCAATTCTCCCAGGATGCTGCAAAAGGTTTTTTTCTGCATCCCAGCTAGGAAAAGTGATGATGTAATTACTCCATAATGAATTTCATAACACAGAGGCTCATTGGTTGAGCCCACGTCATGATGTTTTTTGGTTGGCACAATCCAAAACTTTATTTCTGGACCCTAAGATTTGAATTTTGTTCAACTTTCACATGCCATGAAATATTACCATTATTTTGAAAATGTTTTCAGCTATTTAAATATGCAAAAATCACTCTTAGCACATGGGCCATACAAAACAGGGGGCAGGCTAGGGTTTTGGCTTATGGGTCAGAATATACATCAAGACATTAAAACTGGGATTAGGTTTAGGAATATGAAGGAGAACAAAAGATAAGGTTTTTTCCCTTTCACTTTTAAATTAAGACATATTAGGCAATAGAAACTTTACAGGTCTGACCAAGTTGTCTATTAGCACAGGCTTAGGGCTTTCTGGGACAAGAATAGACATTGGATTAAAGCATTTCCCAGATGAAACTAATTACAAATCTCCTGGTATTGTTCTTTTAAAATTATATCAAATCTAAAACCTCATGCCCATGTTTCCTCATGTCCATCATTACCTACTATCTCTTGGCATTCTTTAGCTGTATTTCTCTACTTCTTCTGCAATTTGGGGGCCAAGAGCATTCAAATTATATTACTTAGTTTCCTTTGTACAGTTTTCTTCTACAAATAAAAGACCCCAGTGGAAGATCAAAGGTAGGAAGAGAGAAGGGTTTATCTCTTTTGTTCTGTCTCTGCTCTGGAAATGTTTCTGGAAGAGGTTATATCTCTTCAGAAAATCCGTGTTGGCCATGGGGACCTCTTCTCCATGGTTCTGGTACCAAGTTATGTAGTCCCTCTTTCATACTTCTGTGCTCAGAAAACATCCAATCCTCTCTTTTGTTTCCACAGCCCTAAGAGTCATAAACCATTTCCTACATTACTAATATTTAGGTCATCTCTCCATTACCTTTTTGCTCTCTCAGCTTTTTCAACTCCTGTGAAGGAAAGTTCCTATATCACATTCCCTCTATTTGAAATATTAAAAGGTTTTCTGTTATTATTATTTTTTTACTGGACCCTAACTAATCCACCTCATAAACAGAGCCTTCTTCAGCACTCCAGGCATAAGAACAAAGGAGAGCCACAGACTGCTAAGTCACTCCTCAGAGTTGCTATTAAAGACATGGGTTGAGGACAGCCACTCACTGGGCAGAATGGAAAGAACACAGTTCATTGCCAAGGAAATGAGTCAGCAGAACGATTTTTATAAAATTCTGATATAAGTCACTGACCAGGTGGTGTTGCTGTACAAATCCATGGATTTGTCCAAGGTCTTTAAGTTTTGGACAGCTATCTTTCCCAGACAACTGTAAAAAGTTGCCATCTACGTCCAGACCACTATTGCCTATGGCAAGGATGCTTTCCTCCCGGCCCTATAAGAAGGGAGAGTGACCGGGGAGAGTATTATCCCCTGGACTGCAGACCTACAGGCAGTCTAACCGACAAAGGATGGGGCATGCTTCTCTGTGGGATGATGACAGCTGGGAAACCCACACCTATTCTTACCTTCTTGCTAGACGTGGGCTTGTGAGTTTCCACTTTTTCCTTCAAAGAAAGCCTATTCCTCAATCTGTTCCATTTGCTGTTCGGTAATCAATCATGAACCTTGATATACGACAAGTAAGGACCCAGATAAAGCCCAACTTGCATCGCTGGCATGTTTGAAGTCATAAGTAATTACAGTATGAAATTAATAACAATAAGGTATTACAGTTGACCCTTGAACAACACAGGTTTGAACTGCATGGGTCCACTTATAAGCACATTTTTCTCAACCAAATAAAATAAAAAAAATACAGTATTCATAGGATGTGAATCCCTTGCATAAGGCGGCCTTGACTTTTTGTATATAGCTGGTTTCTGCAGGGCTTGAGTGTGCATGGATTTGAGTATGTACAAGGGTCCTGGAACTAATGCCCCATGTATATGGAGGGGCAATTGCACTTTAAACCTATAGAACTGGCAAAACATTAGAAAGCTTGATAATCCTAAGTGCTGGTGGGATATGGGAATGTAGCAATTATTGTGCCCTGATAGCGGGGGTAGTGTGGATGTAGTTAGTCAAATTAAGCACACATAAACATTATAGCCTACCTCTTTCTGAGCATTTCTCGCTGAGAAATCTTCATGCAGGCCCTTCATGAAGGACACATGTTAAGTATACTTATTGCAGTGCCATTTGGGAAGGCAGGGAATAGAAGAACCTGGATTGTCCAGCAGAGGAAAGTAGATAGGTGAAAAGCGGTGGAAGCACACTATGGATTATTATGCAGCAATTAAATGAAACAGATTAGGTGTACACAGAGCAATATGGAAGGATCTTAAAAAATTGAGCTCAGTGCAAAATGTGACTTATATAACATGACATTATTTAAATTAAAATATGTATGCACACAATATAATATAAATTTTATATAATATCTAATGTAATATGCAAAGAAAAATGTACTAAATAAACACATTTGAGTGGATGTCAAAGTGGATAACGTAGGTATTTAGACAAAAAAGTAAAAGAGAATATATAAAGGAGCAAAACAGAGAGATCTTACATGGCCATAAATGATGTCGTACCTTGAACCTCAAACATGATTAACTCAATCCCTGGCAATTATGTAAACACACAGCTACAAATGCAAACATATTACATGCTAATTAATTTAACAGTCTAGATGAAAAACATACATTTTCAGAAACAAACTTTAAGACGGAGAATAAATATAAAATTGAAATGGCCAATAAACCTTAAGTAAATTAATATATTCACCCAACACTATCTCCTCCCTAAATTCTAGGTTAAGACAATTTTAGATACATTTTACCAGCTTCTAAGAAATAATTTCTCTCTACTACAAGCATTTGCAGAAAAAAAATACAGGAAGCAAAATTTCCCAGTTAATTTCATGAATTTCATGAGGCTTATATAACCTCAATTCCTAAAGTAGACAAAAGTAGTAATTGAAAATAAAGAAAATACTGGATTTTAAAATCATTTTGTTATTAATTTCTAATTTTTCTACATTATGGTTTGTACCAGTTCATCATAGTGTATAAGATATTGAATTGGGGAATTACTGAAGTTTTCTCTATGGCCTCATGCCTCATGCACTTTCTAAAATAGTTCACGTGTGTTTGAAAACAATAAACATTTTCCGTTAAGTGCATACGTCAAACAAAGCCTAGCAATAACAAATAGTTCAAGCTTATTGATTTGATCTCTGCTAATTTTTTTGTTTGCATCATCTTCAGCTTTGGAATGGAATAGACTAAAATCTTCAAGTATAATTATTGTTTTATTTATTTTTCTGCAGTTCAGCAGTTGTTGATTTATATATATTTAGAAGTACATCATTAGGTACACATATGTGTATGACCATTATATCTTTTTTCTCTGATGTTTTTTACGGGAGTGTAAAACTCTTTGTACTAAGATAACATAACTGCTACTAGAAAATCCTAGATATTTCACAAATCATCAATGATTTAGTAAAATATAAAATACTTTCTATCTCACACAAAGAGTGATTAACTCCAGACAGGTAGGTGTGTTCCTCAAGGCCATTCAGAGACCAGGACTGACAGTCAATGCTACCTCCAATACATAGCTCCCAAATTTGCCTTGAGCATCAATATTGGCCAACATACGTGGGACATGAACATCACACATGACTTTTAAGGTCCAGGCCTGAAAGTGGCATACTTCTGCCCATTTTTTCTTGGCTGAAATATAACTACAGGGCAACACCTAACCTCAAAGAAAGCTGGAGAGGTAGTCTTGCTGTGTGTATGCTTCAGATTTAAATTAAAATCTGACTGGTTTAAAAATTATAGGTTGATTTGATTTCTTTAAATACTTCAAAAATATTACTTCATTGCTTTCTTGCCACTAAAGTTACTGTTAAGAATTTTCATATGGATCTGGTTCTGTCTTCTTTGTAGAAAACTTTTAGAACTTTCTAATGTCCTTGTATTTCATTATAAGTTCTACTTTTACCTCATATGATCTTTTTCTAATACCTCTATTTTTCATATGTTGGTAGTTCTGTTTCTATCATCCATATCTCTTAGCTTTTTTTAATGTATTACTTCTCATTTACCTTTCATGCTACCTTTGGGAAGAGTTCTTCAATATAACTAAGTGCATTAATTTATTTCTTAACTATTTTCATCCTACAATTATTCTAAACTATTGCAGCTGTTTTACTTGGCAGAACTAACATTTTCATTTCCTATTTATGATTTCTTCCTACTTCACGCTACTAATATTCATCTTTTTGTTTTTGAGAATATTTATCAAGCTTGTCTAAAATTATTTATTTTTGTAACTGTGTTTTGTGATATTCATCGTTATTTTTGCTTTCTTTGTTGGAAGGATTGTTCTCCTGAGTCTATTCATATTGCCTTGCAATTCTATATACTCAGAATGTCTTCCTGTTCTGACATGTAATGTGTATTGGGGAAAAGCTAAAGGCTTGGTAGTACCTGTCATCTCTGTAAGTTTAAGGAAAGGGCAGGAGAGGAGACCAGTGCACACAGCCCCAGGCACTACAGACCCAGTCTATAGACCATTAGACACAGAAGGATTCACCCTTAAAGTCATCTTAGACAGAAGCAGATTCAGAAAAGGTCATTTCCTTGGTTTGATGTAAAACCTGTTGTTTGGAACAGAGAGGAGGCAAAGAATGAATACCTGAGGGAAGCTCATCTTTCCATAACTGTTTACATCAGCTCCTTGCTCCAGCAGTACTTTTGTGTTACCCTTGAGTTATTTTCAGTATTCATTTGTTTTTCCAAGACCAAGCAACCTAGGCTTGAGGGAATTCTTATGGTGATGGGACCAGCAATGATTGGAGGGAAGAATAAAACTTAGTACCTCTCTTCCAAAATATTTCCTCCAAGATGAGATGAGGCACGCTTAGCCAGGTGCTAATGCCACTTGTACCAGGGTCCGTCTCCACACTTTCCCAGATACTTTCAGTCAGTCTGGGGCTCTCAGGTGTGCATTGGTTTTTCAAATCCTTGATTCCTCCTATCTTCTGTAATTTATGCAGGGCTGAGTCAAAGGAGGGAGAAAGAATAATTCTAAATCAGATTATTTGTTTTTAATTGTGATTATGTTACTTTCGGGTGAATAGAAATGTCAAATTTTACTGTAATCAAATATTTTGTTCATTTAACTTTATTCCATGTGGTTTCCCCTTCAATTCAACTCATTTGGGAGATATAACAAAGGCACATTAGAAACCTTTTCAGACACTGGTTTTCTAGTTTGTGACTAGGAGGCACATAGCAGTATGTGTGTGTACGTGTGTGTGTCTTCTGTTAAAGTGTCAAGAGTAAAGAATTTAAGCAACAAGCCATGTGAGAAGTCAAGCAGAAGTGTTTGGCATTGTTTTTCTAGAAGACATACCTATTTTACTCCATTTATCCATTTATTTTCTGGATAGTAGAAGGCTACTGAAGTTTTGTGAGTAAAGAATAAACATGAGAATAGTAGTGTTTTCATCAGATTGCACTGTGCAGCATAAACTGGAAGAAAAGATGGTAGAGAAGAGGAAGGCCATATAAGAAGCTATGCTGATACTTCAAATATGAGGTAATGGTTTAGATATGGGTTGTATTCCCCTCTTTGTGTTGCTATAAAGGAATATCTGAGGCTGGGTAATTTATAAAGAAAAAACATTTATTTGGCTCATGGTTCTGCTCTGCAAGAAGCATGGTGCCAGCATCTTCTTTTGGTGAGGGCTTCAAGGGGCTTTCAATCACGGCAGAAGGGAAAGGGGAAGAGGTATCATATAGTAGGAGAGAAGAAAAAGAGAGAGAGTGGAGGAGAGGCCAAGTTCCTTTTAACAATCAGATCTCAAGAGAACTAATATAGTGAGAAGTCACTTATTACCAGGAAGATGGCACCAAGCCATTCATGAAGGATCCACTCCCATGTTCTAAATATCTCCTACCAGGCCATGACTCCAACATTGGGACTCAAATTTCAACATGAGATTAGGAAGGTTCAAACATCCAAACTAAATCATGGGTCACTCTAACACAGTAAAAAAGAAAGAACAGAATGAAATTTGAGCACATTGAAGTTAGAATAACATGATTTAATGATTATATATGAAGAGAAATTAAGAGGCAATAATCATTTTACTAAAATAATATAGAAGGGACAGAAAAGAGTTTTTGATAAGGAATAATGACCATAGTATAGAAATAGAAGAATGGGTTTAAAGCTGTGTTTTAGGAATTATTATCGGTCCTTAGATGTATTTCAGGCCTTATGAAAGTCACTGCACTTAATTTAAAAAGAAATTATTATAAATGTTGATATAAAATAATACCCTCATTTAAATGCATAATATATAAATTTTATCTCATTGACAGCAACGAATGGCTTTAAACCTGTGTCTCCACACTAACCCATTTTTAATGTGTGAAGACTAAGAATAAAGCTGCATGTTTTCTCTATATCTACCAATCTAGAATTCTTATAAAATATTAATCAGAGACTGTTGCTCCTCAATGTTATTTTGTGAATTTAGGCCTGCTAACATGGACACACTATATATCTGCATTCCATGCTATGATTTGAATATTTGCCTTCCAAAATTCAGGTGTTGCCAATGTAATGGCCCTAAGAGAAGGGGCCTTTAAGAGGTAACTACATCATGAAGTCTCCTATCCTAATGAATAGATTGGATGCCCTTATAAAAAGGCTTGATGGAGAAATTTTAGAGGGAGTTGTTCCCTTCTTGCCCTTCTTCCTTCCACCATTTGAGGACAAAGTATTCTTCCTCTCCAGAGGATGCAGCAATAAGAGGCTATTTTGGAAGCTGAAAGCAGCCTTCATCATACCACCAACCTGCTAACATTGTGTTCTTGGATTTTCCAGCATCCAGAACTGTGAGAAATAAATGTCTGCTCTTTATAAATTACCCAGTCTCAGGGGTTCTGTTATAGCAGCCACATGGACTAAAACAATCTACATGCAAAACGAGTTACAGAAATCTAGCTGAGCTATCATCCACAACTGTATGTATGTATGTAACAAACAGTCTAGTTATCACATTTAAAGACTTTATAATAAGTACATGCTATTTTGTTAATTTTAATCTGATTAAATATTGGGTTTCTCTTTAAGACTTGGGCTACACAATGGAATCTAGATATAGAAAGATTTGAAAGCTACTGGTTTAGAACACACTGTGTTTGAAAGTTTGGAGAAACATAGATGAAAATAACAGAACATTGGGAATGCAGGATTAAAAATTCTGTTGATGATTTTAAGGCTGGTGATTGATTTGAAACTAACCCAGGTAATTAAAACTATGAGAAGGAATGAGTGTATTAGATGCATCCAAGGTATGAAGGGTGAGAAAGAGAAGAATCTAGGGCTAAAATAGAAGGGAAATCAGAGGCTTAATCAGGGTTTAAGGACCTTAGATTATTGGTCTTACTCTGAGAAACCAGCTAAAAAAATGTCGATCTCCACTGAAGTAATCTCTTAGCTTTATGTCGGTTGACTCTAAGACAAATGTCTGGACAATAAAAACTAAACTCCAGAGAGTTTAAGAAGTTGTTAAAGAGGACTTTAAAATGTCTGGTGAAAGGAAAAGCCTGCCTAAAAGAAAGTAAATGGCTAAATTGATTCTGTGATAAAGTGATAGTCCAAGAGAAAGTGTAGCTAATATATCTTTTTTTTTTTTTGAGATGGAGTCTCGCTCTGTCGCCCAGGCTGGAGTGCAGTGGCAAGATCTCGGCTCACTGCAGCCTCTGCATCCTGGGTTCAGGCGATTCTCCTGCCTCAGCCTTCTGAGTAGCTGGGACTACAGGCGCCCGCCACCGTGCCCGGCTAATTTTTGTATTTTTAGTGGAGACAGGGTTTCACCATTTTGGCCAGGATGGTCTTGATCTCCTGACCTCGTGATCCACCTGCCTTGGTCTCCCAAAGTGCTGGGATTACAGGAGTGAGCCACTGCGCCTGGCCACAACATCTTTTATTTATTTATTTATTTATTTATTTATTTATTTATTTATTTATTATACTTTAAGTTTTAGGGTACATGCGCACGACGTGCAGGTTAGTTACATATGTATACATGTGCCATGTTGGTGGGCTGCACTCATTAACTCGTCATTTAACATTAGATATATCTCCTAATGCTATCCCTCCCCCCACCCCACAACAGTCCCCGGTGTGTGATGTTCCCCTTCCTGTGTCCACGTGTTCTCATTGTTCAATTCCCACCTATGAGTGAGAACATGCAGTGTTTGGTTTTTTGTCCTTGCGATAGTTTGCTGAGAATGATGTTCACAACATCTTTTCTAATTGACGAGAATAACAGGGAAGGAAAGGGAGAGAGGAGAGCAAAGGAAGAGTGTAAGGGAAATGGAGAGGAATAAGGAGAGAAAGACTTCATTTAATATCTGAGGTTAAAATAAATCCTCATCATGTATTTCAAGTATGTTCAGTGTCAAATCTGGAGATAGATGGAAAAAGAATAATAAAATGGCATTCTACTATGTAACAAGTTAAAAACAATAAAATTGAGAGATGGAAAACCAGCATATAAGACTGGATAAAACCAAAGAGAGAATAAATGCAAAAGAAGTCAAAGGATAATTGAGCACATAAGAAATGTATAAGAACTGGAGTTCCATCAAATTTCTCTGGAGAATGAGGAAATGCAAAACTAAACTAGGAGAGAAAAAGAGTGGTTTCACAACAAGGCATGTAGGAAAGGAGGGAGGATTTCAATGAAGCGAGTCTGCTTCCCTTTTCCATGCTCTGGAAATACTTTTATTTCTTAGACTCCATTAAGGATCCCAGACAGCTCTTGTCAGAGTTTATATTTTTTCACTCTCAATTTTTCTTTCTTATTGGAGGAAGTATTTTATCTTCTGCCTTAATAAACTGTGTAGAAAATTTGCTGTTGAATTCTAGCCTCTTTTCTAAAAGTCTAAGAAGTGATTCAACTGGGCTTTGGGCAAAGTAAACGCTTGTCTTTCTGTTTACTTGACTTTCAAAACTTGTTGCTTTTCTCCGTATTGCATAAAGAGTAAGCTTGTGCAGTATATTTATGTATATATAATCTATTTAAACATGCATACATATTTATATACAAAGAGAGAAAGACTGCGAGTGCAATTTCATATAGTGTGTCTCTGTGTGTTTATGTATGTATAATATACAATTTAGGAGGCTCTAGTGATGATAAGAATAGATTCAGTAAAGCTTAATGTGACACTTTCTAGGGATGTCACATTTCACAGTAGCATAATTATACCATAAACTGCTTCCAATTAAGCCTTGTCTAAACCAAGTTTTGCCTTTGAGACTTTCTAATCTAGAAAATAAATGCAAAGCACTCTTGGGCCATAATCACATTAAATTATCTCAACTTTCCCGTAAGGAATGTACACAAAAATAATCTTCTCTTGAAGCTGGAAAAATTGAGTCAGAATGATGAATAGTTCTTTCAAGAATCTATTGTAAATCTAAAAGCATGCATAAAAATTCATGGAAGTTCCTGCTCTCTGTCTCTGTTTTCTTAACAACAAAGTCTACTTGAACCCACCTGCAGGTTCAAGGCAGCCCCAAATGCTAGAACCATTTCTGGCTGTGATCTAGTGCTGTGATCTGGAGGACTAAACACAGTTGGAGCAAATCTGGTCTTTACACTGTGTGTTAGTTCTGATAACATTTTCAGGACTGAACCTCTGTTCTGGAAACCTGCTTTGCCATTGTCAGGCCCCTTTGAAGTCCAGTCCCAATTTCCAGGTGTCCTGCTTCTCACAGCCAGACCTCCTGTCAGCGGGTTCCACATCAGCCCATGGGGCTCTGCTCTTCCCACTTGGGAAGGCACGATGCCATGTCCTCATGGCCCCTGGTGAGTACCTGCCTAGCCTCTGGTCTTCTTTCTATCACCAAGCCCACTACAACAACAGTGTCAGAGCTTCAGGCCCAGTTCCCAGGCCCTGCCATCCATCCATTTGTGCTATAGGTTTCTCCCGTCTCCTAGCCAGCTCTGCATCTATCAGACTCCTTCAATTAATCCAGTATCTCGTGATGTTCGTGGAAATTATAACAGAAACATAACAGCATTCATTTTGTGATTATACATTCAATTTACAGATTTATAATTTGGGAAAATGTGAATAAAGGCCAGCCTGAAGGTTGATATAAATTAATTAAGGACAACGATCTGCTAAACAAAATAATAAGGCATCAGGTAGAATATTTACATTTTGTGAGAGAATAAATTTTCCAAACACAATTCCACCTATTTACATAAAATGCTAATGGGAATCTCATATACTCAGCAAAGCACTTCCTTTAAGGAATACATTTCAGGTAAATTCCGCTGACTTTGTAAGTTAATAAGATTGCATGTCATTAAAAATTTTTCATTGATTGCCTTCAAATAGGCTGCTATTTCTCTTTACTTAGTTAAAATTGACCAGAGATTATTACAATAGTTTAAGTTGTTTAGATTTTCTATTATAGGTACTTCTGTGAACTGACAAATATAAATGCTAGCAGAAGTACTTATAATAGAAAATCTATAGGAATCAAAGCCTCAATTTGATATAACTGGCAAAAATAATTTTTTGTCTATGTTCCATTGAAAACTTGTACTATCTGAGCAGTGTTAAAACATGATCAACTTAATCATGTGAGGGTGAGAATATGGCCAATGTAAAATTCAGTTCTCTTTTCTTTATAGTCATTCTTGGTGTTATTTCCCTGCAATTGAGTTTTCCCATTAAGAGTGAACATAAGGATCTCAGAGAGCTGGAAAGTGTGTGAATGGAGAAATATTTGAAGCCTGGATCTCCTTCAGAGCTCATGGTGACTCCCTGTGAAATGTCACAGAGAAGGACACTTTAGTGTCCTGGGGACCTGTGAAGGGTAGTAAGTAATTAGTTAGTAATAAGAAGAAATGGGGAAGGGAAGGAACTAACATGTTTTGAACTCATACTGTGTGCCAGGTACTTTACAGATATAACTTGTTTATTGGGTTGGCTACACTTAGTGTTAGATAATGAGCAAATAGTTTTATTTCTGTTCTCACCAGTGCCCTTCAAACTAATGCTGTTGTTTTTCTCATCTCTGAAAGGTAATCTTGCATAAGATTCACACAGTGTTATTCACACAGATCTCATAAGATTCACACTGTGTTATTCACACAGATCTCATGTTCAGGTATTACAAATCTGATGGATATTGAAGTTTCATCTGATTTAAATTACAATTTAAACTATGGGAATAATCTCTGGTCAATATTAACTAAGTGAAGAGGAATAGCAGCCTATTTGAAGGCAGTCAATAAAAAAAAATTTTAAGACATACAATCTTTCATTTATCATCTGATTTAAATCTTCTCTCCCACCCCTGCACCCACCACCAGCTTAGCACGCTAGGGTAGGATAAGGGGGAAAGCGTCTGCTTTTAAAGAATTCTCCCAGGTTCTTCATCCTCAATTTTTATCATCCATGTGAGGAAGAGAGGAAAGTAGAAAGGGACAAGAATGTCTTTTATTTAGCTAGAGATATTTGCAGGTTTTTAAAAAGATATCAAATGCATTTTCATGCTCGAGACTGAGCCATTCTCTCATCAGACAATGATGTAGATCCCTTGGCAAACCGCCGAGGGTCTTCCAAAGCTGCACTAGTTGCCGATTTGGGAGCTGCTCTTTCTTTAGCCCCTGCTCTAGTGGTGCAGCCTACCTAGACTTTCACTGCATGGCTTTCTTCACTCTAGAGGACAGTCTTTTGGGGCAGAGTACTTTAAATAGAATGCAAACCTAGCTACCTTCCATTAATGTCCATTTTGGCCTATATCCTTGCATATCCTTTGCATGTCCTTATCCCATCAATATTCTGGGAGCTGGGTGGAGAAGACCCACATGATCTGCATCTAACAAGCATCCAGCCAGGGGTCATGGCAAACTCACCACTTGGAGACTACTGTCTTGGAAATGGTATATTCTGCCTCAATCATTCTATAAAATGTTCTGTATTAGCAGGATTTCTTCTTAGAAATTTTATCAATAAGAGGAAAATGTCTCACATTGAATTATTTTGGGTCATGTTCTACTTTTCTTTCAAATAATTTAATAGCAAACAGGAAGCTGTCTATCATAAAGTTCAGATCATAGGTGAATCTGGCACCCCTCTTCTCCCTTCCTTGCTTCCACTCTCTTTCTGTGTGATCTCTGCACACACTAGCTCCTCCTCTTCTCCTTTTTTTTTTTTTTTTTTTTTTGAGACGGATTCTCGCTGTGTCACCCAGGCTGGAGTTCAGGGGTGCAATCTCAGCTCACTGCAGCCTCTGCCTCCTGGGCTCAAGCAATTCTCCTGCCTCAGCCTCCCAAGCACCTGGGATTACAGGCATGCATCGTCCGGCTCATTTTTTTGATATTTTTAATAGAGACAGGGTTTCACCATGTTGGCCAGGCTGGTCTTGAACTCCTGACCTCAAATGATCAGCCTGCCTCGGCCTCCCAAAGTGTTAGGATTACAGGCATGAGCCACTGCGCCTGGTGCTAGCTCCCCTTCTCTTTCTATCATGAGTGGAAGCAGACTGAACCCCTCATTAGAAGCAGAGGCTGATCCCATGCTTCCTGTACAGCCTGCAGAACCATGAGCCAGATTAACCATTTTTCTTTATGAGTTACCCAGATTCAGATATTCCCTTATAGCGATATAAATGAATTAAGACTGTAGGCAACATGTTCTTCTCGAGGAAGGGTAATTGGAATCCGGTATCATGGGGATAATAATAATAATAACAACAGCCAGCATGTAGTGGGAATTTACTGCATGCAAAGCACTCTTCTAAGCACTTTAAGTCATTTGATTCTATAAGCATCCCTGTGAGTTAGGTGACCTTATTATCCTCATTGTACAAAGGATAAATTAAGGTAATGATCATTCCATTAATTGCCCAAGTGGTGTTCCTGGGTTTCAAAACCATGTATTTGCAATCCAGAGTCCAAGCTCTTCTCTCTATCTTATACTGATTTTCCATGAGCATGAACATAAATAAATAAACTAATTAATTTTATAACTTTTTATTTGGCTTTTTCTCTGATCCAAGGTTGAATTATTAGAGCAGCACTAATACCACTAAAGAATTAACAATGAAAAGGTGATTTATTGATAAGGTTTTATTTTGTCTGTTAAAAAATCTAATACATATAAATATTACAGATCACATCAATAGGTATTTATGAGTTTTTTAATTAAGAGGTAATATTTAAAAATAAAAACTCTAGCTTGCTAGAAAGGATCAGAATATGGATTGAAGGTTTGTAAAGATTTATGTGTTTGGACATGTTGGAGGCAACCTTGTAATTCCCAAACAAAAATAAATACCTCTGATAATTCCTGGAAAAAGGAATAAGTACTGAGGTGTTTTTACAGCTATTCAGAGCTGTTAAAGCCCTGCATGCATGTGGCACAGGTTTGAAGAATATGAAGAAGTGTGATTGGGTGGTAGGAAGAAAGGAGTGGGAGTCAAGGTGCCTTAGAGGTGTGACTACTGCTGATTCATAACCTTTACATAAAACCTCTGGGATTTTATTTCAGTTCTCTGCATGGCATAAAATGAGGCCCTTCATTACTAGTGAGTGAATTGTTATAAGCAAAAGTGAAGGGTAAATCTGTGCTTCTCACACTAAGGAATCTCAGTGTATGGAAAGTTCTAAGAGGGCAGGAAGGGCCTCTGCTGTAGGCCTTGATACATCCCCAGAAACCAGCAAAAATCCAGCAGTGAGCATGATTTCAACACATATACATTGAATGAATGAATGAATGAATTACATGAATGCTCTCTTATAAGAGTATTGACAGAAGAACTATGTTGCTGATCTAGCTTGGACATAAGAATCTGAGTTTAACTAAACAATGACTCGACCAATTTGCACTTGGTATAATCCCTGAGAATGGATCAGTCAGGCTGCTTTAAAGCAGAGCCTAAAAAGGGGAATCGAATCGTGTACAAGTAATTTATTAAGTGGGAACTCTTAGGAGATGGAGAGAGATCATAGCAAGGGGAAGGAAGACCAGCCAGGATGCAATTTCAGGTGAAGTCTAGTCTTAACCTGCTCCTCTTTGAAGGATTCACCTGTAAATTGCACCTCACTTTGTGTTGCCTTAAGACAAGGGAACTGGGCTTTCCCAACCTTGGTATTAATTGTCTGCTTGAGAATTATAAACCCAGAGGCAGAGGCAACAGCACCCCTGGTGAGTTCCTCTGGAAAAGCTATCAGGTCTGAGTCCTGCGGGAACACAGAAGGCAGCTGTGGGTCTGGATAGGGCACCAACAACATCTTCTATTTCTTCACTTTGAAATTCCCAAACCATTTCCTTTGGGTTGTTTGAAATCAAATAAAAGGTTTTGGAAAACTTGGGGAAACAGAAGAAGTGCTGATAAAAATGCCATGAAGTTTCTAGTTCAGAAGATAGCGATCCTTAAGGCTGTGTGGGTTAAACAGTTGCTTTCTAACCCTCCCTCACCCCTCCACTGAAGTCATCACAGTCTGACTCTTTTTAGTCCAATATTGAAAACTGTTTTGGAGACAAATAATGAGACAGTGAGGGTGAGGGTGGGAGTAACTACTACGCTATCACAAGCTATTTGAAGCTTTGGGTGAACATAATGTCCCCAAATATATGTGTTCCTGTGTATTTTAGCCAGAAAACCAGTGCTTCTAGAGAGCCGGGTTGTATCATCTATATCTATATCTATCTATCTGTATCATTTTTTTTTTTGCAGAGACACAGACTGTTCTATTTGACTTGCAGTATTTATACAGGTATAATATTTATGTTAGAATTGTTTGCCGTAGCTTACGTTTTTCCTTGGCTAGCTAAAAGGAATTCAACAGCTGTGGGATTGTTCATGACAATACTAGATCATAAATTTAACTGATTTTGTGAAACTTTCTGATCAGAAGATATAAGAAGTACCTTAAAGGGGTACAGATCCTACTGGCAATATACATAGTGTTTCCTCAAGAGTGATCCAATTGTTGTTCCTTTAAAGGAGGTAGGTCACCATTATTACTGTTGTTATTATTGCCTGGAGGATCTCTGAATAGAATAGACTGATGATTTTAGCAATGCAGCTCCAATATTAGTTTTCATTTCTGGTATGCTAGGTTTTGTGATGGCCTGAGAAGCATTTTGTTGCTATGGAGTCAGGGTCCTTTTTTTTTATTTTACAAAGATGAAGTTTGGAATTCATAATGTGATAGGAATACAAGGATCAGAACAATCTTATAAGATAATATCTTCCTTTTGATGTGTTGAAAGGAATGGCTATTACATTATTTTTTTGGTCAGCAGAGTCAGTTGCAGGATGACAGATCCAGTTGTGAATTAAATTCAGAATAGCATCTAAAAGAAAAATGAGCAAGAGTTTGTTTTTCCTTATGTGACAGAAGATCTTAGGGGATAAAAGGTAGCAGAATGGTGATAATGAAGTATATGTTGAAAAACATGTATTTAGTTAGTAGAGGGTATCAAAGTATAATAATACATAAGATTAGAAGTGAACAAAGAAAAATAATACTGGGAATCAAAAAATTAATCTTGCTCTGTTGTCTTCGATGGATGCAGTTTATGTTTGCAGTGATCAGCTCTATCAGAGTCTTGGGAGGACACAGTTCACCCTCTGCAGAAGCCTATTTCTGAATGATGCCTGGGAATCTTCAGTTTATGTACAACTAATGAAATGGACATCCAGTGGTCTAGAGAAAATGGTATAATTCTTGTTAATTGAGAATCACGAATCTAACGATCAATATCTTGGCGTTTTACTGCCATGCTAATTGTTAACAGCACATTATAATGTTCTGTCCATCATGCTTCAAGGACAGAGATCTCCAATGCTTTGGCCAGAGGATCAACTTTTCAGGCTTCAGATCATGCCAGGAATGCTTGGGTGGTTGTTCTAAAAATGGAGCTTGAAGCAGTTAGTGATAAAGCTGGAGGTAACAGATAAACCCCGTGTAGTATTTACTCACATCACTTTGTAAAAGGTAGACTCTGAGGTTGGAAATGAAATTCCCAAACACATAGATGGCTTGTTATTAAGTGACAAGGAGATAGCCCTTGGATCCTAGAGGGAGTTGGTCTCGTTGCTATCAAGTCTGAATGGTAATACTTTAGTCTTTGAAGTTTCAAGAATTTCTTAGAGCTTTGCTTATAATTCCATTGGTTCTCTCCACATTTCCTGATCATTTTGGATAAAAAGGACAGTAGAGTTTCAGAATAAAAGGTTAACTTTCAGCAATAACTAATCACAATACCAGTGAAATATGTGCTGTCGCTGGAGAGATAACTGAAGCCCATCATCACCACTCCACCTCAAACTGAGAAAAGAAAATTGAACAATAATAATTATATTATAATTAATTTATTACACATATGATATATATCATATAAATATATAGAACTATATTATAACATATAATGTAATACACATTACACATTATTTTAATTAGTTATGGTAATATATTATATTGTTATTATTATTATTGCTACCTTTGGGACTATAGCTCTTTGGCCAGGAAAACTTCAATTCACCCTAAGAATAAGTAAACAATAGCCAGAACATAGTCATAGCCATTGGGGCTATACGAATGCTTGGGGCATTTGTATAAAATCTATTTGGAGGTGTTCAAAGGGGCTACCATTCCTTTTTGTGTCCTTCCTTTAGTCCTGCCAGGATCATGAACACTAGATGCATTGATTGTTCTAGGATAGGGCCTGGGAGTCACTTCAAGTTTTTAAACTCCACAGGTGAGTCCTGCATGAAGCCAGCACTGAAGGCCAAGATCTAGAAGCAGGCCCGGTACTGCTGCTTTGATACTGGAGTCCAGGTAGCACTGGGGAAATAGAGAGTCTGAGGAGCTCGTCCTCCTCTAGCAGCTGAAGCCTCTGCCAGAGCTGGTGCACAAGCTCATTGCTGCCTGTCATCCAAGATATTTAGGAAATTATAATCAATAAGTAAAATTTTTATGGAATGGAATTTTGACTAGGTAAATGTGTGTTTTAGAAAAGAAAAGATTGAAAGGAAATGTACTGCAATATTTTTATTATTTTTATTTTTATTTTTTTTGAGATGGAGTCTCGCTTTGCTGCCAGGCTGGAGTGCAGTGGCACCATCTCAGCTCACTGCCAGCTCCGCCTCCCAGGTTCAAGCAATTGTCTTGCCTCAGCCTCCCAAGCAGCTGGGATTACAGGCGTGCACCACCACACCCAGCTAATTTTTGTATTTTTAGTAGAGACAGGGTTTCACCATGTTAGCCAGGATGTTCTCGATCTCCTGACTTCATGATCCGCCAGCCTCGGCCTCCCTAAGTGCTGGGATTACAGGTGTAAGCCACTGCGCCTGGCCTATACTGCAATGGTTAGTAGTAGTGATAAAGTTACCTCTTGATATTGGGATTGTAAGTACATTTTTCTGCTTCTTTGTATGTTTCTATTTTTAAATAATAAAAATCATTTTTTCTCTAATCAGAAAAATGAATGTAATAAGTACCACTTGTGAGTATAAGCCTATATATTTATCAACTCACTGCTCTTCACTATGATTATTTCAAGATAATTTTTTTATTCTGTATTTTCCTATCAATAATCTTATTTTTCTTTTGCCTAATTCCAAAAGACTGCTTCTTCACAAAATAAGTTTGTTACTCTTGCTGCTCACGAAGACATTTTCTCTATGGAGACCCATGCATGTTACCTGAAGGTTATGAAGGCAACGCTGTTTTTCTTGGAGGTGACCTATTCTCCACAGGAATGGTACTCTAAAGCTATATTAGATTTTGTTTCTTCAAACAGAATATTAATTAGTCTCTTTGAAAATCAAACTCTCTGAAAATAAATTAAAATGCCCAGTTAGTGCCCTGAACTAAGATCAATCTAGGTAAATTTCAGATTTTTCTTGACAATAGATAAAAGTGTATAACATGGTGCACACACACACTCACATACATATAAGATGACACTGAAACTGAAAGCTGGCAGCACTGCCACAGGGATTTTGTGGATACTCGCTTTTTTTTGGCCACAATCCAAGGGGTTAGAAAGTTCCTTTGCAAGGGCTGCTACTTGAAATTATAGTCCATGTCATTAATGCACTTCATTTTCCAGTCCCTCCAATCCCTGCTTTTACATGACCCTATGTCTTTGTATACATTACCATCTCCAGCTAGAGAGAGAGGGTAACTGGCGTAAGTGTGCACTTCGGGGTTATACAGATGTGGGTTCAAATCTATTCTTTTACAACTTGTTCCTTATGTGGCCCTAAGAAAGTATTTTATGCTCCCTGAGCTTCCATCTTTCCATCCTTAACATGTAGATAAGAACAGTGACTATCTCACAGAATCCTGAGACAATACTTGTGAAGGACTTGGTAACTGTTGAAAAACCGTTTGGTCTTTCTCTTCCTCACCCTTCTCTAACTCTTGTCTTTTCATAAAAACACTCTTGAGATAATAAAAAGTAAGAGCATTGGCTGAAGCCCTCCTAGTGGCAGAGGTGGTATGGAAGAGCAGAACCCATTCTCAGCCAATGGTAATGGATAGGTCAGGGGACAGCCAGAAGTGCAGGGACTTTCACATTTCACTTGCCTGTTTTCTTTACTTCACAAATGGGAACATTCACAGACTGGATCAGTTTTTTGCCTGGGGCTAAGGTCAAATATAAAGACAATCCCAGTTTGGTCAATTAATCCACCAAACTTCAGTGGGTATCTGCTATGGTTTGTATATTTGTGTCCCTTTAAAATTCATGTAAAACTTAATCCCCAGTGGAATAGTATTAAGAAGTGAGGCCTTTAGGGGGTGATTATGCCATGAGGGCTCCACCTTCAGGGGTGGGATTAGAAAATGGCAGAAGGGAACTAGGCAAGCCCTTTCCACCTTCTACCATGTGAGGATGCAGCAAGACGTGCCATCTTGGAAGCAGAGAGCAGTCCTCATCAGACACCTAATCTGCCAGCACCTTCATGTTGGACTCCCAGCCTCCAGAACTGTGAGAAAATAAATAGCGATTTTTATAAATTACCCTGACTCAGATATTTTGTTAGCAACAGTAATGGACTAAAACAGCCCCTTTTCTCTTTCTCTCTCTCTCTCTTTTTTTTTTTTTTTTTTTTTTTGAGATAGACTCTCACTCTGTCACCCAGGCTGGAGTGCAGTGGCACAATCTCAGCTCACTGCAACCTCTACTTTCCAGGTTCAAGCAATCCTCCCACCTCAGCCTCCTGAATAGCTGGAATTATAGGTGTGCACCACCACACCTGGCTAATTTTTGTATTTTTAGTAGAGATGGGGTTTCACCATGTTGGACAGACTGGTCTTGAACTCCTGACCTCAAGTGATCCACCCACCTCAGCCTCCCAAAGTGCTGGGATTAGAGGTGTGAGCCACCATGCCCAGCCTCAATCTCCTTTTTGCAATTTAACCAATCCCTTCCTTTATGCTTGCCCAGCCTCACCTATTAAATTTCCTTCTTCTGCTTTCATACATGGTTACTGTCATAGAATAATGTAATTCTGAAGAAAACTTACAAGAAAAGACATTTTAGATAAGCAAGAGCCAGGATCTTTTTAATGTTTGCTGCATCTACACACTGATATTAATAAAAACTAGAAACATCTCAACCTGAGGATGATAAAAGTTCATACATACGAGACCCAGGATGAAAGTTGCAAGTATGAGCTCCTTTACTCTTCAGAGCTTAGCTTTCCTTAATGTTACTCCAAATAATTAGTGACAGGTGATGGAAGTATCAACAAGAAAACCTAAATTATTTAAACTACCTGCTGAAGAACCTGAGTAGAGATACTGTGAAAACCCTGTTTCTTCATGAGAAGTGGCTACATTAATCATGAAGTATATTATCATGAAGATGACTATCCAAGGGGGAAGTTACCAATATTAATATTGCAATGACAGAACCATAAGTATTCTTTTTCTAGGCCACAATATACAATATGTGCCCATGGGGGCCTTTAGCTCATCTGAAGAAAAACAATGCTAATAAAGACTGTGCTTCTCATACTGTCCTGATTATCTAAATGCCAAATGTTCAATTACAGCTATTTCAGTGATCTAAACTTTAGGACCTGGAAGCAGCCTCAAAATTTAATTAAATCCTCATTATTTACTCTACTAATTACCTAAATTAAATATTTTCTTTACAAATGAAGCCCCTAATTAGGGAAAAATGAATGTTAACAATTTTGTTTTGACTTAGTCATATTTTTACATGGAGATAGGTTTGTTGGTTTTAAACAGTGTGAAAACTGAGCAAAGGAAAAGTTCACTTTTTTAAAAACATAAGACTACAAAATGTGTTACATTTATAAAATGTTCTAAAGTAAGCTTGGATACATATGTGTTATTTGAATACATTTTATTTCCAATTCCATCCTTAGATGTAGCTTGTATGGAGGGTAGATGGTTTCCTTGTTTTTTAGCCTGGCTTACTTGTTGCTTCTTCATTTCATTGTTCATGATACTGGAAGGCAAAAAAGGAAAGAGACACAAATGCTAATGTTCTTCGCACCTCTGGGTCAAAATGAATACTGGGATACCTTGAAAGTACAATTAACATAAGTGTAAGTATGGAAAGATGGTGGATGAAGCAGAGTGAAGCGGGTACTGGAGCACAGTTGCCAGTGGGCCACCTGTGAATGGCCGGCACTGTGTCAGGAGTGGAGGTCTCAGAAGAACAGAATCCAGGCACAGAATGGGGAGAGAAGAAAATGGAAAAAGACCAATTAGGTTGGTGAATTGTTACAGAGTCTACAATATTATTTCCTTCTGTAACCCTCACCTTAACCCTAAATATTGGAAAATATACAAAAATCATGGAATATTTGGAAGCTGGCAAAGCAGGGGAATAAACATGAACACAGCATGAGAAATGAAGCCACGTGTGCTACTGCCAAGAGTCATAAGGAGCTGCAGAATACTTGCGGTGGGCGTTTTGGAGTTTAGGGAGATACATCAAGACTGTAGGTCCTAATCAGAAGATCAGATGGGAAGGCTGGGGAACTCCTTGTAAAATCACAGGCTTCGCCCTGAAGAATTGCGCTGTTCTGCAGGAAGATGCCATTATCCTGAAAAGAGTTACAACTTTTGGAGAAGTGTTAGAAAAGGGAACCAACATCTAGCAGCCACATCAAGGAAGTGAACCTTCAATATCAAAGGAAATCGAGAGTTTTCACAGCCTGGTGTTCTCCACCTGATTTGGAAGTGGAGCTTTTGGGCTTGATATTTGCAAGTAAGGTGTCTGTATAAAGCATTATTTTAAAAACTTTAGGAAAAGATTGCATTCATTTGTATTAAGTTTAGTTATGGACTTGAAATAATGTTTTTCTTGACTGTCATTCCTTTTTCAAGAAAAGTAGGACATGAGAAGACTCAGTCTCCCACCTTCTGCTAGAGAATGAACAAAATGAATCTCAAGCACCAAACTGTCCATCTTGGAGCCATAACACAGCTGCATCTTCATGACACTGAAATGCAATTGTCTTAAACTACACTTGTGGATTGACTGGTTGTAGCAAGCACAATCACCACACTGAAACAGGTTTGACCTGACAAGAAGCATAAGGGAAGCATTCTGTTTCAGTTGGGCTGCTTAGCTGCAACAGAATTTCTGATATGCCAGATAAATCTGTCTGCCCTCCTCTCCTCTACATGACACACACTACGAAGCCCCATATAGGACTCCTTGTTAAACCCAATAAATTGTTGTAGACATCAGCTCCTTTTAGAGAGTCAGACTGACTAATCTTGCATATGGGGAATTGTGTGAATATGTTATTATACTGAAGTTAGGAAAGTCGAAGTGTCTGATCTTTCAGGAATTGGGAGAAAGCTAGTAGAAGCAGAGCAGTCATCACTTTAAATATTCAGGGTCTAACAAACAAGGATTTGATTTTTACCTTGAGCTTCTGTTAGCTTTAACTAGAGGCCTTTGTTTCTAGAGAAGAATCAGAAAGTTGACAGATCCTGCTCGATTCTTCCTTTCATTTTATTGCACTCTCTGTGCAGCTGGTTACCTATAAACTTTCTGTATTTTTCTAAATAAATAAAGGCTTGCGACCTTTGAAAGGCAGCAAAGCGCAATGAAAAAGGCAAAACAGGCTATGAGTTAGAAACACCATTGCTATCCCAACTCTGCCTACTAGTAGAGGTGAATTTGAATGTGTATTTAATCTATCTATATATTTTTGCCTCATTTGTAAAATGAGAGTAACAGTCATTTAATTCTTTAGGTTTTGATGAGAAACATTCAATGACATTACATTTGGAAGCACTCAGTACCGTGTTGGCCATGTATTAAATATCTAATAATTGGTCATAGTTATTATGAACAATTGGTTTGATTCATTTCAGTATGACAGGATATTTGGTCTTGGGTTTTCTTTTTTCAGCATGATATGATCAGTTTTTTTTTCTAAAATTATAATGATTTTATGTTGTAGATAAAACAGGTATTAAAGTTATTTCTTAGTTTACATCATAGCACAGAAAGAGTGACATCTTTATTCTGTAACTGTTTATTCAATGCTGTTGAAGGCAGTTATATTGCACACAGTCTCTACACGACTGGCACTGATGAAATTGTGCCTGTCCCCTAGGTTAGGTTACATGAATTTTGTTTCTGCCCACCTGCTGTGTGTCCATACACATAGCACTTTGATAGATGTTACACCTTCCTGTCTTTGAAGAAGGAATCTTGTCCAGAAGAGAAAAGAGAAACACTTAAAATGGCTTGGAAACAATGGCAAAGTCAACAAAAGCAAATCATTGTGTTAGAAGATAAATATAATTGGTGAGAGAAGACAGTTGAGTGTGAGAGATTCTCAGAGAAGGTGGGTTTGAGTTGAACATGAAAAAGGTGATGAGCATGGACTTTTGAAAATTAGCTGTTTGTTTGTGTGTCCTAAACAATTCAAAAGTTGTCAATAAAAAATATCTATTATAGCCATAAAATGGAAATAAAGTAATTCTTAGTGTGAAAAAATATAAACCTGTATTGTGACCCTTTATGAGCTGAGAATTTTCATGTGCGTCCATGTGAAGAGACCACCAAACAGGCTTTGTGTGAGCAACATGGCTGTTTATTTCACCTGGGTGCAGGCGGGCTGAGTCCGAAAAGAGAGTCAGCGAAGGGAGATAGGGGTGAGGCTGTTTTATAAGATTTGGGTAGGTAAAGGAGAATTACAGTCAAAGGGGGTTTGTTCTCTGGCGGGCAGGAGTGGGGGTCACAAGGTGCTCAGTGAGGGAGCTTTCTGAGTCAGGATGAGCCAGGAAAAGGACTTTCACAAGGTAATGTCATCATTTAAGGCAAGGACCGGCCATTTACACTTCTTTTATGGTGGAATATCATCAGTTAAGGCGGGGCAGGGCATATTCATTTCTTTTGTGATTCTTCAGTTATTTCAGGCCATCTGGGCCTATACGTGCAAGTCACAGGGGATGCGATGGCTTGGCTTGGGCTCAGAGGCCTGACATTCCTGCCTTCTTATATTAATAAGAAAAATAAAACAAAATAGTGTTGAAGTGTTGGGGTGGCGAAATTTTTTGGGGGATGGTATGGAGAGATAATGGGCGATGTTTCTCAGGGCTGCTTCAAGTGGGATTAGGGGTGGCGTGGGAACCTAGAGTGGGAGACATTAAGCTGAAGGGAGGTCTTGTGGTGAGGGGTAATATTATGGGGTTGTTAGAAGAATTATTTAGAATTGTTGGTGATGGCCTGGATACAGTTTTGTATGAATTGAAAAACTAAATGGAATAAGAGAAGGAGAAAAACAGGTATAAGAGGTCTAAGAATTGGGAGGACCCAGGACATCTGATTAGAGAGTGCCTAAGGGATTCAGCATAGTCCTGCCAGCAAAGATTATTTATTTACTTCAAGAGTTAAGAGTGGCAGTTTGGGGATAGTACCAGGAGATATCAGCTGTGATGGCTTGGAGAAACAGTGTAAACTGGCAGTGTAAACAAGAGCAGGACATGTATGAGTAGTTGAGAACGGTGAATAGGAGTATGACTAGACAGAAGATAGTAGAGATGACAAGTTTTTTTGGGGCACAGTCTAAGTTGGTCTGGTGTCTGGAATGAGACTGGGGCCTAATAAAAAGGAGCGTCTATACAGGAGCTCAAATGGGCTGTACCCTGTAGCATTCTGAGGACAAGTCTGACTTCTGAGAAGGGAAAGTGGTAAAAGTATTGTCCAGTCCTTTTTAAGTTGGTGGCTGAGCTTGGTGAGGTGTGTTTTTAAAAGACCATTAGTCTGTTCTACTTTTCCTGAAGACTGAGGACTGTAAGGGATATAAAGTTTCACTGAATACTAACAGTCTGAAAAAATGCTTGGCTGATTTGACTAATAAAGGCCGGTCTGCTATCAGACTGTATAGAGGTGGGAAGGCCAAACTGAGGAATTATGTCTGACGGAAGGGAATAAATGACTACCGTGGCCTTCTCAGACCCTGTAGGAAAGGCCTTTACTTATTCAGTGAAAGTGTCTACCTAGACTAAGAGGTATTTTAGTTTCCTGATTCAGGACATGTTGAGTAAAGCTAATTTGCCAGTCCTGGGCGGGGGCAAATCCCTGAGCTTGATGTGTAGGGAAGGGAAGGGGCCTGAATAATCCCTGAGGAGTAGTAGAATAGCAGATGGAACACTGAGAAGTTATTTCCTTGAGGATAGAGTTCCACAATGGAAAGGAAATGAGAGGTTCTAAGAGGTGGGCTAGTGGCTTGTACTATAGCATAGCCTGCCTTTGCTGGTGTGTGGTGATTAGGCCTGGTGGAACTGCCATCAATAAATCAAGTGTGATCAGGGTGAGAAACAGGGAAGAAGGAAATGTGGAGAAATGGGGTGAACGTCAGGTGGATCAGAGAGATGCAGTCATGAGGGTCAGGTGTGGTATCCGGAATAATGTGGAGGCCGGATTGAAGTACGGGCCAGGAACAATGGTAATTGTGGGAGACTCAACAGAGTGAGTATAGCTGAAGGAGCCAGGGAGCAGAAAGTATATGCATCAGGTGTGAGGAAGAAAATAGATTTTGGAAATTATGAGAGATGTAGAGAGTAAGTTGAGCATAGTTTGTGATTTTAAGGGCCTCTAAAAGTATTAGGGCGGCAGCAGCCACTGCACGGAGACATGATGGCCAGCCTTAAACAGTAAGGCCAAGTTGTTTGGACAAAAAGGCTACAGGACACGATCCCGGTCCTTGTGTACAGCCCTGCACTTTGGCTGTGTGTAATGAAAAGGGTTGGGATGAGTCAGGGAGAGCTAGAGTGGGGGCAGTCTCTAAAGCTGTCTTCAAGGAATGGAAAGAGGAGTGGGGAAAGGATTTAGGATCTATGGGGTCAACTAGGTTTCCTTTTGTGAGTTTATATAATGGTTTTGTTAGGATGGCAAAGCCAGGTATCCAAAGGTGAAAATATCTAACTATGCCTAGGATGTAGAAGGTGTTGGGGTTTGAGAGATCAGTCAGACACTATTGGCAGGGAGAGCAAGTGTGTTTCTATAAGAATTACGCTGAGACAGGTAACAGGTGAGGAAGAAATTTGGGCTTGACTGAAGTAATGGGGGATGTCTGTGAAGCCTTGCGGCAGTACAGCCCAGGTAATTTGCTGAGCCTGATGGGTGTTGGGGTCAGTCCAAGTGAAAGTGAAGAGAGGCTGGGATGGGATGAAGGGTGCAAAGGAATAGCAAAGAAAGCATGTTTGAGATCTAGAACAGAATAATGGATTGTGGAGGGAGGTAATGAGGATATGAGAGTATATGGGTTTGGCACCACGGGGTGGATAGGCAAAACAATTTGGTTGATAAGGCGCAGATCCTGAACTAACCTGTAAGTCTTGTCTGGTTCTAGGACAGGTAAAATGGGGGAATTGTAAGGAGAGTTTATAGGCTTTAAAAGGCCATGCTGTAGCAGGCGAGTGATAACAGGCTTTAATCCTTTTAAAGCGTGCTGTGAGATGGGATCTTGGCATTGAGCGGGGTAAGGGTGATTAGGTTTTAATGAGATGGTAAGGGGTGCATGATCAGTCACCAAGAAGGGAGTAGAGGTATCTTATACTTGTGGGTTTAGGGTGGGGGGATACAAGAGGAGGTCGCAAAGGAGGCTTCGGACTGGGAAGAAGGGCGGCAATGAGATGTAGCTGTAGTCCAGGAATAGTCAGGGAAGCACATAATTTAGTTAAAGTGTCTCAGCCTAACAAGGGAACTGGGCAGGTGGGGATAACTAAAAAGGAGTGCTTAAAAGAGTATTGTCTCAGTTGGCACTAGAGTGGGGGAGTTTTAAGAGGTTTAGAAGCCTGGCCGTCAATACCCACAAGAGTTATGGAGGCAAGGGAAACAGGCCCTTGAAAAGAAGGTAATGTGGAGTGGGTAGTCTCCGTATTGATTAAGAAGGGGACAGACTTACCCTCCACTGTGAGAGTTACCTAGAGTGTCTGTGATGGTCCTGTAGGCTTCTGAGGTGATTGGACAGTGTCAGTCTTCAGCTGCTAAGCGGAGAAGATCTGGGAAGGAGTCAGTCAGCCTTGGGCCAGAGTTACAGGGGCTCTGGGAGTGGTTGCCAAGTGAGTTGAACAGTCCAATTTCCAGTGGGGTCCCGCACAGATGGGACACAGCTTAGGAGGAATCCCGGGCTGTGGGCATTCCTTGGCCCAGTGGCCAGATTTCTGGCACTTGTAGCAAGCTCCTGGGGGAGGAGGTTCTGGAGGAATGCCTGGCCACTGCAGTTCAGGCGTTTGGAAGTTCTTGTGTGCTGGAGATGTGCCTGGGGTTTGTCTTACAGTGGAGGCAAGGAATTGCAACTTTTTTCTATTACTGTACACCTTGAAGGTGAGGTTAATTAAATCCTGTTGTGGGGTTTGAGGGCCGGAATTTAATTTTTGGAGTTTTATTTAATGTTGGGAGCAGATTGGGTAATAAAATGTATATTGAGAATAAGACGGCCTTTTGACCTTTTAGGGTCTCGGGCTGTAAAGCATCTCAGGGTTGCTGCCAAATGAGCCATGAACTGGGCTGGATTTTTATATTTAATGAAAAAGAGCGTAAACGCTATCTGATTTGGGATAAAGAAAAAGGAGCACTAACCTTGACTATGCCTTTAGCTCCAGCCACCTTTTTAAGAGTAAATTGCTGGGCAGGTGGGGGAGGGCTAAGTCACGGAATGAAACTGTAAGCTGGACTGGGTGTGAGGAGGGGAGGTGATAAAAGGATTATAGGGTGGAGGAGCAGAGGCTGAGGAAGAATTGGGACCTAGCTCGGCCTGGCGAGGAGGGGAGAGGTCAGATGGGTCTGTAGAAAAGGAAGATTAGAAAGACTCAGCGACGCTTGGGGTTGGGACTGAGGGGACAGGCGGGAGGGAAAGAAGGAAGATTTGGGATGAGTTGCATTGGGCACAGAGACTAGGAAGGGACCGATGTGTAAAAGAATGCCTGGACGTCAGGCACCTCAGACTGTTTGCCTATTTTATGACAAGAATTATTTAGATCTTGCAGGATGGAAAAATTGAAAATGCCATTTTCTGGCTATTTGGAACTACTGTCGAGTTTGTATTGGGATCAAGCAGAATTGCAGAAGAAAATAAGGCATTTAGGTTTTAGGTCAGGTGTGAGTTGAAGAGGTTTTAAGTTTTTGAGAACACAGGCTAAGGGAGAAGAAGGAGGAATGGAGGGTGGAAGGTTGCCCATAGCGAAGGAGGCAAGTTTAAAGAAAAGGGTGAGTAGAGACACGGAGGGAAGTGGTTCAGGGGTTCTTACCCTCCAGAAAAGCAGGAAAGGGGTTGGGGCACAGAGATATGAGGTCAGGGCATGGAAATAAGGGATCAGGTTGCAGAGATATAAGAGGCTGGGGCGCAGAAATAATGGATCGGGGCACGGAGATATAAGAGGTCGGGACACGGAAATAAGGGATCTGGGTGCAGAGATACAAGGTTGGGGTACTTGCCCCTCCCCTAGAAAAGCGAGACTTGTCGCTAAGAGTGAAGGAGAAGGAGTTGGGGGTTTCTTGCCCCCCAGAAAGGTGGAGAAGGGGTAGAGACACGGAGAGAAGGGGTTGGGGTACTTGCCCCTCCCCCAGGAAAGCGGGACTTGCCGCTAAGGGTGAAGGACCAAGGCAGGCATCCCAGCATGGCCTGACACCTCTGAAACGTGGGTGAATAATCAGAGGGGCGTCCCTGCAATGATTCAACACCAAGGGAAGGCTGCCTTCCCAGACCGTGACCGGCACTGGAGTTTTGGGTCCACGGATAAAACATGTCTCCTTTGTCTCTACCAGAAAATGAAAGGAATTGAAATTAAGAGAAGGGAGAGATTGAAGTGTAGCACCAAGATTGAAAGGAGAAAGAGGCTGAGGGATAGTGAGGGAGGTTGGAGAAGAGAGTAAAAAGAGGTTGCTTACTGGATTTGAAATTGGTGAGATGTTTTTTGGGCTGGTTGGTCTGAGGACCTGAGGTCATAGGTGGATCTTTCTCATGGAGCAAAGAGCAGGAGGACAGGGGATTCATGTCCCAAGGGAGGTCCCCCGATCCGAGTCACGGCACCAAATTTCATGCGCGTCCATGTGAAGAGACCACCAAACAGGCTTTGTGTGAGCAACATGGCTGTTTATTTCACCTGGGTGCAGGCAGGCTGAGTCTGAAAAGAGATTCAGTGAAGGGAGATAGGGGTGGGGCTGTTTTATAAGATTTGGGTAGGTAAAGGAAAATTACAGTCAAAGGGGGTTTGTTCTCTGGCGGGCAGGAGTGGGGGTCGCAAGGTGCTCAGTGGGGGAGGTTTTTGAGCCAGGATGAGCCAGGAAAAGGACTTTCACAAGGTAATGTCATCACTTAAGGCAAGGACCGGCCATTTTCACTTCTTTTGTGGTGGGATGTCATCAGTTAAGGCGGGTCAGGGCATATTCACTTCTTTTGTGATTTTTCAGTTACTTCAGGCCATGTGGGCGTATATGTGCACGTCACAGGAGGTGCGATGGCTTGGCTTGGGCTCAGAGGCCTGACAAGAATAATGTTAATCATGTTTACTCATTCATTTTATTCAATAGATATGTTTCATTTACATGTACTAGTTGTTATTCTAAAATTGGTTTGTCCAGTTTTACTTTTTTATCTTTTATATTACTTGTGCTATCCTTTTATTTTTATTTTTATACAAATGATAAAACTGAAGCTCTGAAAAATAAGTACCTTACTCAAAGTTACACATGGTATGGAAGATCTAGAATTGAAACTCATCTGTTTGACCATAAACCTATTTGTATACCATGTAGACTCATTAAAAATAAGTTAATTTATAGACCTTAGGGAAATGCTAAAAAGAAAATTTTCTTCTTCTTAGCAAATTTTTCAGTCCTCCAGTAATAGGTGAATCTCTGTGTGTTTTTAACTAACTGTATGTATTAGATGTGTGAGATCAAAATCAGTGGGTTACTTAGAACAGTTTGGTGAGAAAAATAAACTTCCTACAATAAACATGGTTTACAAAAGGAAATGTAAACGAGAAAGTGTCTGAGATAGGTCTCAAATCAATTTTGAAGTTTATTTTGCTAAGGTTAAGGATGTACCTGGGAGAGAGGTCTGTGCCTTTCTCCAAAGATGTTTTTGAGGGCTTAAATATTTATAGGGGAAAAGTGGGCTGGAGGGGAAAAATGGAGGGTATGGCAATCCACATGTTGCAGGAGAAAATGAGCAGGCAGGGGAATAGTCAATTATCTATTCATCTGGAGCTGAGTAAATCAGCACTTTACATAAGATAAAGTGAGCACAGAGTAGCTGCCTGTGGAGATATTTAACCTTTTATATCTAGCTCTCTGCTTAGGAACAAAAGGAAAGGCAGTTTCTTGCATGACTCAGCTTTCAGCTTAATTTTATTCTTTGGGCATAGATAATTGGGGTCCTGAGTTTTTATTTTCCTTTCACATTTCTCCCACAATTTAAAAAAATCTTTAAGAGAAAGCATTTTAGAAGAAATTGAGTCTCTGGTCTCAGGTTTTGTCTGATGACTCATGGTTGGGATTGTTTATTCCTAGACAGATAGGTCCCACATTGTTAGGAAAGCTCATTTTTAGCAGGTTGTGGAGTCTCATGTCCCATGAGGAAAATATAGTGGGAACAAGAGAGAAATAAAACAACACACAAACAAAACAAAACAAAACAAAACAAAAAAAGAGGGAAGAACAAGCCTGGAAAACTGAAATAGGTCATATTACCCTGAAGTCTACACATCAGTAGGTAGGTATGAAAGTGGTTTGTGTATATAAATGGGATGCTGTTATTGTCTTCTGAAGTTTAAGTTGTTAGCTTCAGTTCACAGGGCTTTAAGAATAGCAGAACTTAATTTTTCATGTTTTCAAATCAGGAAAAGTGGGGAGAAAAGGAAAAGAAAAAAAGGAAAAACATTGAAAACATTATTTTGGACTGAATTTGTCCAAATGGTAGACAATAGTAAAAATTGAAAAGAATTAGGCAAGGCTAGAATCTAATTGTAGAAAATAATAATAATTGAAAAGAATTAGACAAAGCTGGAATCTAATAACAGCTGTACTATAGTTTATTTTGAAACCTGATTTCTCTCTGTCCAATTGCCCATTTTTATTAAAGACAAAATCATAGAAGGATCAATTTATTTGTAAAATAAGTTTTAGTACTATCATTCTTGGCTTGATTCTTTGCATAAAGTGCAGCAAGAATAATCATTTGTCATATAAGCTCACTGTTTTTTTTTAATTGGCTTTACTGGAACATATTTCATAAGGTGTCTAAAACTACATCTTTTTAAAAGCCTCAAGCCCAGACAAAGATTTCTCTGTGCCTGAAGTGAATTTCTCTGTGCCTTTCTGTGTGAATTGGGTTAATTTCTCTCTTTTTAAGGTCTCAAGAAAACCTGGGGTTCCTGAGTGTGTCAGAAACTGACATTCTTTACTTACCACAGGTCAGAACCCTGTAAAGGACAAGGTATGGGGCCAGGTTTTCTAAGGAGCTTTCATCAGCTCTATAGGTCAGCCCCATTTTCTCAAGGACATGTGAAAATATGTTATTCCAGTCAAAGCCTTGGTAAAATAACCAGTGTCTCCAACTATGCTCTGTTATAAAAGAAAACAGATTCTTACTGAACTTTTGCAAATCACTATATTGTCATAAATTAATAATACTCACAAAATAGCTTCCAAATTTTAGAGAAATTAGGTTGAGAGAAAGGAATTATGTTTTAAATTTTGCTCCTAAGAATATATTTTACTAAATTGTTAAGAGCTATAAATAGCTTAAAAGAACATAAAGTTTTTTGTGTGTCTGAAAAATAAAACAAAAAGAATCATCAAATGTTTTAAGTAAAAAGTCGTAAAACATTATTTCAACCTTCCATTAGTTCAGTTCATGCAATTAACTCCTGTTCTGCTTGATATTTAATTAATAATCCTTATGAATACTTCAGCTGTCTATGAAAGTCCTGGAAGTTTTTCTCTCCATTCCAATGGTACAATCTCTAAAGTTATCAGAAACTTGTATTTACAAGTGTGCCTCAGAGTTCCATAGCTGATTATAAACTGCCCTATTAAAGTATCAATGTTGGTCCGGCATGGTGGCTTATGCCTGTAATCCCAGCACTTTGGGAGGCCGAGGTGAGTGGATCACGAGGTCAGGAGTTCAAGAGCAGCTTGACCAAGATGGTGAAACCTCGTCTCTACTAAAACTACAAAAATTAGCCAGGTGCGGTGGCAGGCACCTATAATCCCAGCAACTCAGGAGGCTGAGGCATGAGAATCATTTGAACCCGGGCGGCAGAAGTTGCAGTGAGCCAAGATCGTGCCACTGCACTCCAGCCTGGGCGACAGAGTAAGACTCCATCTCAAAAAAAAAAAAAATTATCAAAGTTAAACAACAATTATGGATGACAAAAGTCTTAGAAAAGCCACGAATGAAGAAACAGTTCATAAGGAAATTTGGTTACTTCTATGAAATACAACAATTTTATGTAATATCATAATTATTACTGATGACATATGCAAATACATATCAGAATCACAGAACTCTCATATAATTTTGGATCATATACTAGTCACACGTTTATATAAATGTTATAATCCAAAGAAGGTTAAACACCATTTCATATTTTGCAATCCTTCCTGCATGATTTTATTATAGCAAATAAGCTGAATATGTGTCTTCTGAACTTCTGGAGACTTAATATAAAAAAAAATGAGATCAAAAATTTTGAATATGATTTTAAAGTGTCAAATATCAAAAGTTACTTGATATCACAAAATAGAACCACAGGTCCTTGTAAAATAAGCAAATAATTTAGCCAAAGTGATAACGATTTCTTTAAAAAGGGAAAAAAAAACATTTATTCTATGAGAGAGGAGACTTAATATCTCAAACAACAAGTCTTAATAAAGACAGCAGGAGGCCAATTAAATCTGTCTCTCAAATCTTTGTTTATAACAAATCTATTAAATTTTAATCATCTTGACCATTAGACATAGTTTTGATAAGCCTTTTTTATAACCTTTTATTTTTTTCTTAAATTAAAAAGTAGGTTAATGCTCCAAGGAAACCTTGTTAATCTGACACAGGGGCCAAGATGCTGGGGTTGCATCAATGTGCCTTTGATATTAATATTTTCTTTAGAGAAAGACTCTGAATTAATATTCTCTCTCAAATTCAGCACTTACAATCTCACATGCCCAACTCTTCATGGTAGTTCCTGGGCTTAGAGTGGTTGAATAGTTTTAATTTCTGACCCTGTGTCTCAAGAACTTGTTTATTTTGTTTGTCATCTTCTCCTGGGTCTGAAAATGAGGCTTTAACTGTGGTCAGTGTTTAAGATTTAGCAGTATTTGCTGTTCTTTATAGACCCAGGAATCAAAGCCGTGTAACTTAATAGCACAAAGACTTTAGAAGCAATACATAAAAAGTTACATGGATGTACTTAACTTTTCTTTCTTTTTTTTTTTTTTTTAGACAGAGTCTCACTCTTTTGCCCTGGCTGGTGTGCAGTGGTGCAATCTTGCTTCACTGAAGCTTCCAGCCTTCTTGGATCAAGCAATCCTCTCACCACAGCTTCCCAAGTAGCTGGCATGACAGTCACATGCCACCCATCAAACCAATTTTTGTATTTTTTCTAAAGACAGGCATCTCACCATGTTTTCCAGGGTGGTCTCAAACTCCTGGGTTGAAGTGATCAACCTGTCTTGACCTCCAAAAGTGCTGGGATTGTAGGCATGAGCCACTGTGCCCAGCCAAATTTCAGTTCCTCCTAAGCAAATCAAGATGTTAGTAACAATGACATAGGAATTATTTCAATAAATAAAATGTAAAATCTGTTAGGCCAGTTACCAAAAGGAAAAAAAAAAGACGTTCCACAGTGTGATTGCTTTTCCCTATGTGGACTCCATTTAGAAAACCTGTAAGTCAAACTAATGAAAATGGTAGCTGAATTAGTTAGACATAGGAAGAGTGTGTCCTGGGTTATAAGTGAAAGTTTTCAGATTTATAGAACAATTTAGACATATTAAGAAAAGCCAAGAGCACGGAATGTTATGTTGGATGAAAACATGTCCTCTATACATTTAAGAAACTCATTTTAGCATCAGGCTACAACAGCATTTAGAAACTGAAGGGAAAACAATTATGGGAGCTAATGAGAAAGTTGCAGGAGAGAGTTATCTAAGGCCTTCTCAAAGAAGAGAGAAAGTTAAAAATAGTAAGATGCAATAAAAGTTGAATTTGGCAGTAAAAAAAAAATTAAAATATCTTGTAATTATATTAAGAAGAAATCAACACTTCAGAAAATTTTTTTGTTCTAACCAAGTTTTTAGTGTACTAGTGTTTTTTCATATCAAAGCCCAGTCTCTAAAAAGTGTTATTATTTCCTTGTAATTACAACCAACTTGATCATATCAAGTTTTTTAATCATGAATTCTCTTTTTATAAAGTGTTTACAGCTTACACAAACCATTTACAGCATGCTTGAACTTCCTGTTTTATCCTAAATATCCCTCCTTCTTAAATACCTGGTCATTATATTTTAGGACAGAAAATTTACCATACAAGACTCTTTCTCATATTAAATTATTGTCCTTTGACTCTTTCTTACCAAAAAATACCTTTGTATATCTATAACTTTCTTTACATCTCTCATATTTATTGTTTCAGAAATAACCTTTGAGTTAGACAAAAACTATTTTGCTTTAAATAAACATTTTTTTTAGAAAACTATTTTCCAACAATTTTTTTTAAAAACTGGAAATGACCGAGACATTTAATAAATATCTATTAATTAATTCAACATAACTTTAGATTCTAAATTATATGACAAGTTAATTTATAAGCATTTATTTCATTAAATTTACCCAATTAATTTATTTTTAACAGATTATTTAAGACAACTGTGGTAGTCATCACTTAACATTATTTTTCTCTTAACCAATTTTACAACCTGTGAATTTCAGGTGTTTATTGAAGTAAAAATCTTAAGGTTTAATAAATATTGGGCTTTTTGGCCAATAATTCAGGATTTAGGTGTTTTCATTAAACAAAACTATTAAATGCCTTATTTCTAAAAAAAAAAAAAAAAACACAAATTAATTCTCTTTCGGGCTGCAAGCTTTATAATTCTCATGCCAAATTTTGACACTTTATAATATCTGTCAGAGATAAGTATTGAGCTGCTTGACCAATAAATCTAAACAATAATGTATGTTGACAATACTGAAGACATTTCTCATTTTATTTTACCAATAATTTTAAAACCAGTTTACTTATTAAGCATTTATTTGAGTCACGTGAACTTGAAAAAGCATTTGGGCTTAAATGTTTATTTTTCTAATGAAGCTCTTTTATGTATATTTGGAAGTGAAACATTATACACACAATACATAAATACATAGACATATTAGACATGCAGACAGAGTAGATCTTATAAATTCATAAAACCTCTTTTTCTTCCTATTTTTGACTTCCAATTTCTTGATAACCGTTACCCAAGGCAACTTGTCAGCCAGTTAGCCCTAAATTTGCATACTAAAGGAACAACTCAGGTGAAAATCAGACAGTAAAATTTACATTTCCAAGTGGGGAGAGAGAGAGACAGATATATATATATATATATATATAGAGAGAGAGAGAGAGAGAGAGAGAGAGAGGAAGAAAGCCCACTGTGCTAGAGGGAAATTAAAAATGGATGCCAAGTCAAACATAAAATTATATAAATCAACCATAGGATTTTATAAGGAAACCAATTTTATTTAGATAGGTAGTTTAAAATTTAGTCTTTATCTTTTAACTGCACCTCTGAGCTCTAGGTAGAGCCCACACTGAATCCTGGGTCTCCAAAAAGAGAGATATCATGAAACTAGGTCATGAAATGATTTTACAGTGCATTTTGTTACAAAGACATTTCTGTAAAACACACAAAAGAAAATTCTAAGCCTCCCCAAACAACTAAATGGACTCCTCTCAGCCAAGCACATTATAAAGTAAACACTAGTTCAGGTCATGATGGGAATGGGTGGTTGGATATGCTTCCTTATTACCTTCCTCCTTTTGGAATTCAGGCACAGCTGACCAGCATTAATGTTAAAACAGAAACCTTAAGACTGACAAAACAGAATCTTTGTACCAACGTGACAGACAGCAGACCCTGAAATAAATTAAACTATTTTACCCCAAAATATATTTCTTTGGCATATTTTGAAATGGCCTTACAAGGCTGTCTCTTATAGAGAAAATCTACATTCTGTAGAGAATTCCTTTCCATTTCCAGGTCTTTTTCCTGATCCAGGAGAGAATTAATTAAGAGTCTGGCACTTTATAAGTCTGATAAGAAATATGTATAATATACTCTCTCTAAAGTCTGCTACCTGGGTGCTTCATTTACTTATAAGAGCCTTGGTCTCCACAACCCCTTATCTTAACACAGACATTTCCTTGTATTGGTCCGAGGACTTTAGGTAAATTGTGTCAATCAATTGCCAATAAGAAAATCTTTGAATCCACCTATGACCTGGAAGCCCCCACTTTGAGTTGTTCCAACTTTCCAGACTGAATCAATGTACATCTTACATGTATTGATTGATGTCTTGTGTCTCCCTAAAATGTATAAAACCAAGCTGTAGCCTGACTACCATGGGCACATGTTCTCAGAATCTCCTGAGGATGTTTCACAGGCAATTGGTCATTCATGTTTGGCTCAGAATAAATCTCTTCAAATATTTTAGAGTTTGACTCTTTATCAACATTTCTCTAAGTGTTTAAACCATATCCTTTATCATCTTAAACATACAAGAGTAGCCCCCCTAGCAATAACTATTTCAGTCAAAAAAGAAAAAAAAAAAACAGGTAACACAATACAAAAGCAAGTGGTTTAAGATCTGAGAGGAATTTGTTTGTTTATACTCTTGGGGAGTCCATAAGGAAAAACAGAGGTTTCTCCCAAAAAGGAGTCTGATGGCTTCTCTGATTTCTTTAAGGAATCCCAGGCTGTTAGAAATTATGTTAGGTCCTTTATGTAGCGGAGTGTGGCAAGAGGAGGGAGAGACAGTCAGAAGCAAATGGAAAAAAACAGAATTCAGACAACTGAGAAGAAAGAGGAAAAAAAAACTTTTTCTCAAAAAACAAGATCCTAGGAGAGAAAAAAGGGGACAAAGGTCTTTTAAATGTATATACATCTTGGGTATTTGCTTTAAACTGAGCTGACTTTTAACCACTGGAACTCTTAAAAAATCCTTTAAAATTTCTTATTAACATATTTTAGTTGGGACAAACTGCTGATATTTCAAAAGTAACACAAATATCAAACCGGAAAATGACTGGATTAGGAAACAAACTCAGGCTGTCATGGTGAAAAAAGGGCAGAATTGTAGCTCCTGAACTACAGCATGGGTTAGATGGCTGCCATTGCTTTTTCAGTTTGGCTTGGCTAGCAAAAGGTAGACTTGTTAGGTAAATAAAGCCCCTCAGGGGGTCAAAAATTACTCTTTTTTTGCTTTTGTTGGCCTTTTTGTTTTTCTTCTTCCTTTTCTTTCAGCTTCAGGAATTTAGCCAATCCAGAGGTCTTGTTTCCCATAATTTAGAAGTTTCCTTCAGATTTTGCCAAATCAGGTAGCATTGGTCAAACCAAAGGGGAAGAAGACTGAAATAACAAAAACAACAACAGAAGAAACAAACGAAAAACAGTTAAGCAAAAGAACCAATTGCACAATTTATATGATTACTGAGCTCTCTAATTGTAAGGAGAAATTAAAGCCAGCTGGTTGTTAGTCTTAACTTTTAGTCTTTAAGGAGAATTTCCAAGACAATACTCCAATTCAGCTACCTACCTAGGAATGGAGTGCTCTCTACCACTTTAGAAGGAGAAAAAAAAACAAAAAACCTCAAACTCACCTTCACTGTTGGAAGCAAGCTGAAACTCCAGAAAGAAGTTGTCTGCTCTCTATCGTCATGAAAGCAGGTACACACACCTTTCTCATCGGATGCGAGTAAAACTCCAGAAAAGGAGCTGTGCAGCAAAATAAACCTTAGCTGTTAACCAAATTTTGCGTGATCAGGGATTCACTGGAGAAGGGAGTTCCCAGGCCTCAGCAAATTGTCCTATTGGTTTAAGCAACAAATATAGCTGAAGCTGATATAGATAAGATCACTGATCAGAGATTTGTCAAAGGTCAGGGTCACCTTCATTTCTGTTGGTCACCAATCTGTAAACCAAAAAGTATCTGAGACAGGTCTCAATCAACTTAGAATTTTATTTTGCCAAAGTTAAACATGCACCTGGGAGACAGGTCTGTACCTTTCTTCAAAGATGATTTTGAGTATAAGTATTTAAAGGGAAAAAGTGAGCTAGAGGGGAAAGAGTGAGGGTATGGTAATCCTCATGTTGCAAGAGAAAAGGAGCAGGTAGGAGATTAGTCAATTATATATTCAACTGATGCTCAGTAAATCAACACTTTACATTAGATAAGGTAAACATAGAGTAGCTACCTGTGGAGATATTTAGCCTTTTATACCTAGCTATCTGCTTAGAAACAAAAAGAAAGGCACTTTCTTGCATGGCTCAGCTTTCAGCTTAATTTTATTCTTTTGGCGTAGTGCATTGAGATGTCATGTTTTCATTTTCCTTTCACAGGACCAAAACAGTTTTTTACAAAAAAGAAGTGCTTAACAAATGTGTTTTTAAAACAAACCTTTATAAATCTTAGCATCACAAATCATTATTCTATAGAAGTATTTCCATCATACCATTTAATATGATGGGAAATTTCTTTGTCTTTTTTTAGTAAACGGATTTTAAAACTAAACATTATGATGATAAAATAGCAAGTAAATATAAATTTAATTTAATTGTTATGGTAATTGATATGTAAACATTTCCCAATCTTATTTCTTAACTTTAAACAAGTATAATGGTTAATCTAAAGCTTTATTCTCTCAAAGTGCTGGTGCCAATAACATTTTACAATATCATATTCTCAGTAATTTTTTCTCATTATCCAGTAGTCAAAACTGACAAATCCTAAGTCAAATATAATTTTGATCAAGAATGAATCCAATTTGGGACTTATTTTAAATTTTAAAACATATACATACGTATGATAAATAAACTGCATATCTATCCATCCATCCATCCATCCATCCATCCATCCATCCATCCATCCATCCATCCTCTATCTCCTCTCTGCCCCATTTCCCCTTCTCCTTCTTTACCTGCCTCCCTCTCCCTTTCTGGATTGGACCTCCCTTACCTCTCCTTTTTAGAGGAGAGGAGGAGGTTTAATTCATCCTTTCTATTCTTAGATACAAGTTTATTTGAGAGTTTTCTGTTTATATTCATAACACTATGAGGCAGCAATGAAAATATTGCCTATCCTAATATGCACTAGAGCCTCATGTGGATTTTTATCTCATAAACATTTTTCAGCATTTTTAGTAAAGAAACATAATTCTCATATCAAAATTTCCAAAGTTAAGAACTCTTCTCAACATGAAGCATTTTTATAAAGGATAAGGAATTGCATGATTTGGTAAGCAGCAGGAAATGGGCAACTTGGAAAGAACTGTCTCTAATTTTTAACTGGTTTTATAGAAAGCTTGTTTCTGAGACCTGCTGGGTGTCCAAATTGGTTCATGGGTTCAGAGAATAACATTAGAAATCCTTAGAACAAAGATAATGGAATCTCAGGCCTTCTGGGAAATCTGGATCAATGGATGATATCCAATTTCCTCAAAGATCGACTTCAGTTGAAAAGTTATACACATTTATTCTTATTTTAACTATTTTATGAGATCTTGACATATAGAATTATTAATAGTATGACTATCTGAGTAAAATATCTAAAATTTTGAACTTTCATTTCCTTCATCTTCAAAATTCTATATTATAGGATTGTTAGATGACTAAATTAAATAATATATGTAGATGGCATAATTACCTGCCTGAATTATCAGTCAATATGACCAGTATTCATGATTATGGTAATAATGACAATGACAATGATGCTGTCAAAGCCAAACTCAAAGCTTTGATATCTATTTCAGTTCTTCATGTAATAAACATTCCTTGCTCTGATTTCAGATATTCTACTGCCCCAAATTTCCAACTGGATGTTTCCTGGGTATCTAATATTAAAATTTATCTTTAACAATTTGTAAACTTCCATTTCTCCTTCCAGACCTATCAACCAGTATCATCTACATCATCTCCCCCTTCCCAAACCTGCCACCATGACACTATCCTTATCTTGGTGCCTGGCATTCTCAGAATGCCCCAGGCCTGCTCTCCCACACAGAAAAATGTCCTCCTAGGTGTCTCCCTCGCAAGCACACCATCTGCCTTCCCTCATGTCATCTGATCTCTCATCTCTGCCTAATCTATCTGAGAATGAAAATGGCGACTACTTACTGGATGCTTTTTCCTTGACAAGCACAATAATTATTTTAGGTCTATATCACATTTAATTTTTTCAATAGCTTTTTCATTTACAGATGGACATACCACCTCACATTCATTAGGATGACCATTATTTAAAAAAAAAAAGTGTTGGAGAGAATGTGGAGAAATTGGAAGCCTTGTGCACTGTTGGTGGGGATGTAAAATGGTGCAGTCACTATGGAAAACAGTATGGAAGTTCCTCAAAAAATTAAAAATAGGGGCCGGGCACGGTGGCTCACACCTGTAATCCCGGCACTTTGGAAGGCGGAGGTGGGCAAATCATGAGGTCAGGAGTTTTAGACCAGCCTGGCCAACATGGTGAAACCCCGTCTCTACTAAAAATACAAAAGATTAGCTGGGCTTGGTGGCGGGCACCTGCTACTCAGGAGGCTGAGGCAGGAGAATCTCTAGAACCTGGGAGGTGGAGGTTGCAGTGAGCCGAGATCATGCCATTGCACTCCAGCTTGGGCGAGAGTGTGAGACTCTGTCTCAAAAAAAATAAATAAATAAAAATAGAATTACCATATGATCCACCAATCCTACTTTGGGTTACTTATCCAAAAAAATTAAAATCAGGATCTCAAATAGATATTCTCCCTCCCGTGTTCACTGCAGCTCCATTCACAATAGCCAAGATGTTGAAGCAAACTAAATATCCATCAATGAATGAATGGATAGAGATTGTGATATATAATATAATATAATATAATATAATATAATATAATATGATATAGTATAATATATATGAATATTATTAAATATTCAAAAAGAAGCCCTGCTCTGTGCAACAACATGAATGAACTGGTACGACATTAGCTAAGTAAAATAAGCCAATCACAAAAGGACAAATACTGCATGATTCTGCTTACATGAGATATCTAAAGTAGCCAAACTTACAGAAACAGAGAGCAGAATGGTCGTTTGTCAGGGGTTGTGGGGAGGGACAAATGAGGAGTTGCTGTTCGATGGGTGTAAAGTTTTAGTTTTATAAGGTGAGAAAGTTCTAGAGATCTGCTGTACACCCTTATGCTTATAATTAACAATACTGTAACTTACACTTAAAAATTTAAGAGGGCAGATCTCATATTATGTATTTTTTGACCACAGTGAAAAACATTATGCTACATAATGGGGATTCTGAAAAGAAGAGCACAGTTTACTTCTACAGCTGTCAGTTTCTAAACTGAAAAAACAACCCTTGAAATGAACTATGTTAATTGCAGCGCTGTTATTAGACTTTGTCAGCTAAGATTTACATTTTAATTCATTTGATAATACACAAAGTAATACCCTATCTTCATATGAACTCTGGATGTCTCAATATGCAAAATACAAATTTGAAAGAGAAAAATTTTGTGCTTATTTTCTGAGCTTATTAATTTTTTGAAAGTAGCTACTCTTAGTGCAGATGGATTTTTTTCTTTTTTTGTCCAGCTTGGATGTACCTTAGAAAAGAAATGTTCAGATGCATTTCTAATAGAACTTTATCATGTCTGGACAAACAAAAACTTAGCAATATCAAATACATTACTATAAAAATGTCCTGTAATTAGATATAATAATCTATGAATAATTAAATGTTGCAGAGAGACGGCACAACAAAACCACACAAGTTGTAAGGCAGCTTTTTGGCTTCTTTTCATATATCCCATAATAGCTATGTATTAAGATGACAATGTTTAAGAAAAATAACCAAAGAACAATGCTCTGATAGGCTAAGAAGTCACTGATACTGATTATATTTTTAAAAATATGTCTTGTAATTAGATCATCCAAAAACTGTATTGATAATGTTAACTTTTGTTTTTATAGTGTTTGAAAGTAATATAGATAATTAAAAAATTAAGGCCAATTGAAGTTTACACTTTATATTGATCCCAGTCATATTTTCTAGCACCTCCTATTCTACCTCAGTCTTTTAGTTTTATGTTGTTAGCATATACGTTTTTAAATGGATATATAATAGTTGTGCACATTTATGGGACACGTGAAATTTTGATACATGCATATAATCAATATGTAATGATCAAATCAGGGTATTCAGAATACCTATCACCTCAAAAATTTATTATTCATTTGTGTTGGAAACATTTTAAATCTTCTCTTCTAGCTATTTTGAAATATATAATAAATTATTATGGCTAACTCTAGTCACCCTACAGTGTTATCAAACATTAGAACTTCTTTCTTCTATCCAACTGTGTTTGTACCCATTAACCCAGCCCCTCTTCATCCCCCTTTCCTCAGACTCTTCCTAGCCTCTGGTAAGCATCATTCTACCCTCTCCCTCCAGAAGATCTACTGTTTTAACTCCCACATATAAGTGAGAACATGAAATATTTGTCTTTCTGTGCCTGGCTTATTTCACTTAATATAATGACCTCCACTTCCATCCATGTTGCTGCAAATTACAGGATTTCATTCTTTTTATGGATGAAAAGTGTTCCATTGTTTATCATCCAGTTTTATAATTCATCATTTCCTCCTCAATTCTCCTATACCACTGAATTCATTCTTCCTTCTAGAAATTTTTTTTTTATACTTTAAGTTTAAGGGTACATGTGCACAATGTGCAGGTTTGTTACATATGTATACATGTGCCATGTTGGTGTGCTGCACCCATTAACTCGTCATTTAACATTAGGTATATCTCCTAATGCTATCCCTCCCCCCTCCCCCCTCCCCCCACCCCACAATAGGCCTTATTTGTGATGTACTTATTGGTTTAGGTGCTTATCCCCCTCCCCCGTTCAGAATATAAGTTATTTGAAACAGGGCTGTATTAGTCCATTTTCACACTGCTGATAAAGACATACCCGAGACTGGGAAGAAAAAGAGCCTTAATTGGACTTATAGTTTCACATGGCTGGGGAGGCCACAGAATCATGGTGGGAGGTGAAGGGCACTTTTTACATGATGCCTGCAAGAGAAAATGAGGAAGATGCAAAAGCGGAAAGCCCTGATCCAACCATCAGATCTTGTGAGACTTATTTAATACCATGAAAACAGTATGGAGGAAACCACCCCATGATTCAAATGATCTCCCACCAGGTCCCTCCCACAACACGTCGGAATTATGGGAGTACAATTCAAGTTGAGATTTGCATGGGGACACAGAGCCAAACCATATCAAGGGCTCACAGATTATTACTCTTTGTACATGCAGAATTTAGGTTACTGTCTGAAACATGGCAGTTGATCCAAGCAAAAAAGAATTAATATATTCAAATATTCTATAATATGCCCACCTCAAACACATAAAAAAGATACTAAATGTTGTTTTTATCCTATTTTTTCTAAGGCCCTGAACTCTTAAGTTCACCCAGGGGAAGTAATCTAATTTCTAAAAGGGACATAAAGTAACACTGACATTAAAGTCACTGGATATATGAGGCTGTCACTAGATATAATAGATCGTCCACCATGGTGCTAGATTTAAGTCATCCAGGCTATATTGTTAAGATGACTTTATCAAATCTTTCTTGGAAAAGCTGTAACACAAATCTTGAACAATTGCTTCGCTTAGCGCATGCTGTTTACAAAACTTCAATAACTAGAGTGAACTTTGTTTCTCTGGATGAACCAGAATATAGCCATGACCTATCCCTGAGTTCTTAATTTGCTTTTTTGCCATGTAACCTGGAGAGTAAATAGGATGAAGAACTTCAGAACCCAGTTTAGTTGATGACAGGGTTGTGGTTCAGGAGTTAAATGGCCTCAAATTCCTCCACTGAACAATTAATTAATAATTAATACTGGCACTTACTTATGCCAAGCTCTGTAAAAGATTCTGAGTGATAGTAAATATCTTTTCTCTTTTCCCTTGTTAGTGAACATCTTTTATCTTTCTTCTTTTTTTTTACCTTTTCGCTCTTATTTAGGAGTTTATTCCACATTCCTCCTGGTTCTTGTTTCAGCTCAATTCCTTCTCTTGAGCTGAATGGAATGAAAGAAATAATGCCATTTTATTTTATTCTTCTTTTTATTTCAAAGAAAATTAAAACATGATCAAATTGTCTGAGAATTTGCTGTTTCCCTCAATATGTTCTGAAAAATAAACATATTATTCTCAGGCTCTTACACATAAATATTTTACAATGATTTCATTCTTGAGTCCAATTTCTCTTCTCAGCAAAAGACCCAAATTTCCACTGTCATCCTATGCCATTCCTTCTAAATTTTATCACCATATTCGTAATTGGGCCCAGGTCTCTACCTCACATATAGTGAGTACCCAATACATGTTTGTACGGACATCTTAGAAATTGATTATGGTTGGCTGAGTGCAGGTAAAAGTAATAGGGTGTAGGTTCATGTTTACAAATATCTTGATAGAAATTCCCAGAGAAGCAGGAAGGAATTCTCTCTAAATGCTTAGGCACCTTTTACATCAAGGCTAAATCCTGAAAGGTAAAGACTGGGTAGCACAAGGTGCTGACCTCTTCAGAAGAGTTCAGATGAAGAAGGGAGAAATCCTGTGCCTGTAGACTTCTTGAGTGGAGGAAACCCAAGAGATCAGAGCTTGTTTAGGAGCCTGAGTTACCCATAAAAATGGCTGACCAATAAAATAAAATGCCTCAGAAAAGTGACCCACTGGAATGAACACTCTAGTATCCCAAATGCATTAATGATAGGATTTGCAGATGCATAAAATGAAGGTAGTCTGGGCAGGAGTTGCTTTCTGATTGACATGTCTCTAGCTGATACGTTGTGCGCGTAAGTGGTAGTTTGAGGTCTATTAAATTGAGTGTCTATAGAAGCTTGCTGACTCCAGGCTGCTGTGCTACCTTTATCTATTTCTCTAGATTTAGATCTCAGGATTTGTATTCTGAAAGCTTATGTGGCTTGGATTTGGTCTTACTCTAATAAGTAATCAATTATTCTTTCTTTTCCACATGCAATCTTCTCACAGTTTATGGAAGACTTTTGCAAATGTCGCTATGACACTTTATTGTCTTGTATTTATACCTTTTTGTTGTATCTTCTCATACTGTCTGTGGGATTGCCCAGGAGACTTACTGGCAAATGGAACATTTGCAAACTTGATGGACACATATGCTGAAAGTGTTTGCACATTGAGGCTCACCCTGTTTCTCTTCTTGGAATTCTGCTGCTATGTCTGAAAAACTAAGCCCCAGTCAACTCCCAGATATGTGAAAGGCCATCCTTGATAATACAGCCACCAGCCACCTTGGCATCTGAATGCAGTGCTTGAGAGAACTCAGTAGAGATAAGCTTAGTTATCACAGATCAGAAGAACCACCTGAGCAACCTTCAGAATAGTGAGCTAAAGAAATGCTTGTTATTTCGAGTGACTACATTTGGGGGTGATTTGCTTTGTAGCAAAAACTAACTGACAGAGAAAGTGATACCTAGACTTGAGTGCTTCCATAACAACAAAACCAAACATGTGAAATTAACTTTAGAATCATTCAGTGGGCAGAAGTTTTAAGACGTTTTGTGAAATCTGGAAAACGGGCAAGCAAATTATTAATGGAGGATGAAAAGATTGTGATACATGTTATGTAAGATTACAAAACAATGATAAAACTGTTGCCTAGAGTAATTTGGGAGATGAAAAATGTGGATCTTGGAAAGATAATTTTCAGGAACACTTTAAAATTTTATTGGCTTCTTTTAGTTTTCTGTGATAAGTTATAGGAAAAGAGAGATAAGCTAAAGAAAGAACTGATCAGTTTGCAAGCAGAGCTCATATGGAATAGAGAGGAGCCAGGGTGTACTGGATTGGGAACATAACTGTTTCTTATATGAGGTCTATCTAGCCAAGAAAAGATTCTCAGACTAAATTAAAACCTGAGGGTGTTAATCAAGATCAGGGCACTTCCAGTAAAACATTTATTCTATGTCAAGATGAAATCAAGGACTTAAGAAAAATTTATGGTGATATCTGGTGGACTTTCTCCACTAGACAAAAGAACTTCTAAAACCCTTAATAGCATTGCCTCATAGCAGCTTGACAAACTGCCCAAAGCAGAGAGAGGCCGGTTTTGAAAATAATTGTGGATATGACTTTTGTTAAATGATATATAGAAAGCCCATAACCTTGTTAAGGGAGTTAAATCAGCAAAGGGCAGCTAACCCAGAAAACAAAAACAAACAAACAAAACCTTGAGACAGTTCAAGTAAAATAGAGGTCTCTATAAGGAACTTAACAAGCAAAAAACAAACAACTCCATTAAAAAGTGGGCAATGGACTTGAACAGACACTTTTTAAAAGAAGACATACACATTGCCAATAAGCATATTAAAAATGCTCAATATCACTAGTCATTAAAGAAACGCAAATCAAAACTATGTGAAATTCCATCTCACACTAGTCAGAATGGCGATTATCAAAAGTCAAAAAAATAACAGATGCTGGTGAGGTTGTGGAGAAAAGGGAATATTTATACGCTGCTGGTAATAATGTAAATTAGTTCAGTCACTGTGGAAAACAATGTGGTGGTTTTTCAAAGAACTCAAAGCAGAATTACCATTGGACCTAGCAATCCCATTACTGGGTATATACCAAAGGAATATAAATTGTCCTACCATAAAGACACATGCATGAGTATGTTCATTGCAGCTCTATTCACAATAGTAAATATATGGAATCAACCTACTTGCCTATCAAGGTAGACTGGATAAAGAAAATGTGGTACACATACACCATGGAATACTATGCAGCCATAAAAGGGAATAAATCATGTCCTTTGCAGGAGTACGGGTAGAGCTGGAGGCCAGTATTCTAAGTGAACTAAGACAGGAACAGGAAAACAAATACCACATGTTATCACTTATAAACAGGAGCTAAACATTGAGTACATATGGTCACAAAGAAAGGAACAATAGACACTGAGGCCTACTTTAGGGTAGCGGGAAGGAGAAGGATGAGGATCAAAAAACTATCTATTGAGTACTATGTGTATCACCTGGGTGACAAAATAACCTGCATATCAAATCCCCTGACATACAATTTACCTATGTAACAAACCTACACATGTATTCCTGATCTAAATTATAAGGTAAAATGAATAAATAAATAGAAGGCTCTGGACTACCAAATTTCTATTGGAAGAAGACTTAGAAAGCAACTGAACTGTCAACCTGGGCAATTTATTTTTTACAGAAAAATAAGAGTGCCTTGGAGGAAGGATCTAAAAGTCCAGGGACCATAGCGAAGAATCAGGGAGGAAAATGTCTAGGGATCCTCTCCAGTGAGTAGAACAGCATTCTAGTCAATAAATATTTTCTAATCCTTGGTGTAGGGTTTCAGGCAACATTTGCCCTGCCAGGTTTCAGAATTGTTATGGACCAATGATTATTACGGTTTTTTTTTGTCCTCTCTCTTTATGAATAGAAGTGTTTTTTTCAGTTGCTCTGACTCTGTCTCAATATTTTATTTTGGGTGAATTGAGAATCGAATAGCTTATCTTTTTAGTTGATATGCTTTGATCAAGAGGAGTTGCAGCAGAGTTGTTCATTCCCGCCTGATATGGATCAGAAGGTACTAGACTTTAAGCCTGATACTGTAATTTTATGAAGTTTCTGGTAGTTTTGGGAGAGGGTACAAGCAGAGTCCTCTATCTTAACGATGGGAATACTTTTTGAGAAATATATTAGGCTATTTTGTTGTTCTGTGAAAATTGCAGAGTATACTTACATACACCTAGATGATAGAGTCTGCTACACACCAAGACTGTATGTAGAGCCTATTGCTTCTAGGCTAAAACCTTTACAACATGTTTACTGCACTGAATACTGTAGGCAATTCTAACATGATGATATTTATGTATCTAAAGATATCTAAACATCGAAGGCAACAGTGAAAATATAGCATTATAATCTTGTGGGACCACTGTCGTAAATGTAGTCTGTCGTTGACCAAAGTGCCATTATGCAGAGCATGACTATATTTGTGATGTGGGAGGGATATGAATTTTTTGTGGGCAGAGTGAAATTAGGCCAGATTGTTTGCAGAATGGCTGCTAAAATTCCTTTCGCAGTAGCCATGATCCTTGGTAGTTCACTCCTACAGTGACTTGGGAATGTGACTTATTTGTATTCGCATGTGACTTACTTCAGCAAATGGGACATTAGCAAACTTGACTTAGCAGTGATTGTGAGTTGAAAATCGATCTTTTCCTAACCATTGATCTCTTTATCCTCTGTGTAAAGAAGTTATGGCCAGCCTGTTTGATGAGTAAAACTTAGCCAGCCACCACTGTTTCCCTACATGCCCCTGCCAACCACTAGACATCTGAGTGAGGCTCTGCTAGGACACTGAGTTGCCAGCCACTTTCCTAACTAAATATATAAGGGACTTCTGAAGAAGTTATTTAGGTCCATCCAAGTCACGAGAACCAAACAGGCAACCCACAGAATTATGAGTTAGTAAATGATTACTTAAAACACTAAATTTGAGAGTGGCTTGTGATGCAGAATAAGTTAACATGTTGTCTAAAACTCTTATCATATGATATTTCAATTACCTGTTGGGGGTCTGTACCTATTACTCTACTATTATCACCATGCTGCAACAGACCATGTCTTAGTCACCACTATATTTCTAGCACCTTATATAATGTCTGGGAGATAATTGGGAAGGGAAATGTAATGAACTCTATTGCCCCTGAAAAATTTAAAACTGATTGTGTGACTTCCCTATTGAAAATTCTATAATATTTAAGCATGTATAAGGAGGAATTTAATAAATATTTATAAATGCAAGTTAAGCTTATAGCATGCCTTTTAAAACAAATTAATAATTCTTCATCTTTGTGTTCCCCAGCTATAAAATTCTTATAAAATTAATGCATTAATGAATTCATAAAAAATTTATTAACACTTATATCAGGCATAAAATATGCCAACATTCTAACAAGGGAAACAGGGCTGAAAACAAAGGCAAATACAAACACAAAAATAAGAATTATCACCAATGCAATAATGAACATACATATTGGGTACATTAACTAGTACAAAAGAGAATATCCCATGTAAGAGGCTGTGTAAGGAAGCACTTCAATGCTGCAGGATGAGGCTGTAATTGTCAGGAAGAAAAGGGAAGGGAGTCACTTTCCTGGCAAAAGAAACACCATGAATAGAACAGAGTGACAGGAAGCTGCAGGGCACATGGAGGTGTAAGATGTTTCCTACCTTTTGACTGTAGGGGATGAAGGGTCAAGTGCAGCAAGAGAAATGAAGCAAGGATTGGTTATGACAAACTCTGCTCCCAACAACAAGCATCTTGGGAATTCTCCAAAAGGCTTTCTAAAAGGCATTGGGAATACTCAGAGGGTAACAAGCAGAGGTGAGCAATGATAAAATGTGTGTGTTAGATCAAATAGTCCCAAAGTGGTAAAATATGACAATGGTCAGTTTTTTTTTAATCCAACCAATGCTAGAACACATGGGAGAAATACTACAGCTTTTGTTGCCTGTTCTGAATGAGAAACAAAGAAGAAAACTTTGTATGCATGCCCATCAATTCAGTGTTGCTCATCTTGTAATCTAAGTTCCTTGGGAGAAAACGTGGCAGTTTTGTTGATGAATTACCCTTGTCAAATGCTTAATACTATGCTGTGCATCCAGTGACTTCTCAATTCAAATTACTTGATGCTCATGAAGGAAATACTCAGTAAATGCTTATTTTAAATGCAACATGTTTTTCTGCTTACTTCCCAAGCATGAAGGGTGTTTAGATTGAATAGATTTAGAAGTTCAGTTCAGTTATAATAGAAAACTATTTATTCATTTTAAGCTGCATTTAAAAAAAGCATAATCCATCAGCCACTTAAAGGTTATTTCCAGAACTCAGACTTGAGGAAAGTTATTGTACTTTGTAGTATCATTATTTTGTTTAAACAAATAATGTTTGTTTTTACTCTCTTCCATTTTGTATTTTTTTCTCCTTAAAAATTCAGTCTTGGATATGCTGAGTGAAATCAGTAATTTAGTAAAACTGGGAGGTTGAATGAAGGAAGTATTGGAAGGTCTCGTTGGCTGCAGCTGGATAGAAAGAGTAGTTGCCTTCCCACCTGTGATGAATGACCACCCTCAGACACAGAGGACTGATTTCAAAACGAGGGCTGCAAACCCTATCTCCATGAACAGGATTCACTAGCCATTAATAATAATGTTTTCAAATGGATACCACTGCTAAATGGGCCCTCAAATGCCACTTTTCCTTTCTTGAAAAAGCATTTATTATTTTTTCCTCTTTCAACTTAATAAAGCTAAGCTCAAAAGAATCACATTGAATGACATTGTCTGAAGCATTGTTATATATGGCCAGTTAACAGATAAATTGACATATCTCAGATAAAATGCTACCATTTTAGGGACAGCCTTATACTTACCAACTGTCCATGTATGTACTTCCAATATTGCAAGGCAGGAAGGGGTAGTGAAATCCTTGGGTAAACAGGAAGAAAACATTTGTATGACCAGGGTTGGGACCTGTAAGGAGAAGAGTGAAGTCTTGGTCGGATTAAAAACAATGGTGGCTGCAGACAAAGGTGTCAGAAGTGCTGGGGTTGATACAGATTTCTTGATGTGAGGGACTAATGGTGAGCCTTCTGGTCACCTCCCTCACTTTGTTTAAAAAAAAAAAAAAAAGAGCTGCTGGCATTGAATCTTAGAGACAGGCTGAAGAAAATCTAATTTTCTCTGAGGTAGCTGAATATCAGTGTATTAAAAAAAGGAAATTATTTTACATCCCTTGACAGCTATTATGCTTACTGTACTGAGCATGCTCAGAACATAGGTGAAGAAATACATCTGAGACTTGGAAGCCACATCTGGCAAGTTCACGTCTCAGACTTTTAACTTAGATTCTTTCACTGGATCATTACGTTTCTCTTTGCTACTGAATCATCATTTAATTTAACAAGGTCCCTATGTCAGTGCAGAATTTTTTAGACCAGATATTAATCTTGGGCCTATGAATCATGAATAATTTTTGAAAATCTGGGTAGCAGAGTGGGATATGGGAATTGTCCAGTCAGGTTTCAATAAAAAATTTCTTCCTGGAAACAGACAACAAAATGTGCATACCTATAAGAAAACAAAACAAAAAAATAGGAAGAATACAATAAAAAAGAAAAATAATATGTAATACATTGTGACATTCACATATGGTTTCTCTTTTAAAAAATTACAGAGTGCCATGAAATATTTGTTTATAATTAAACGAGGAATAATTACCACCACTCTTAGGATACTTTATAATAACAGTTTCAAATTGGGAAACTAAACTTTGTTGTCCATTATTATTACGATTGTGTATCTTTGTTTAGATTAAGCCTGGCTTTTTGACTGGAAAATTAAAGAAAAGGAAGTATTTTTGAGCTTATGTATCTTCTGCTTTTTAACTCTATTTACAAATATGATAAAACACAAATTCTACCAATTTTTCTTACAAGGAAAGATATTTGAAGTGGAGGTATCTCTGCTCCATCCATCCAGAAAATACATCATGTGGTGTAGAATATTTTTGTGAGAACAAGGCTCAATTTTAACATCTTTGAGTATAACAAAACTTTGAATATACCTCTTAAAAAGCCTGGTGGTAAAGCATGCTACAAGATTACTTATCCTCTTCAAAAAAAGAAAACCCCCTGTTAAAGTGAAGCCCTAGATATGACCAACACATATGTGGGTTCGAGTAGAAGGAGAGAATGAAAGTGGAGACCTTTGTCAAATTGCATCATTTAAGAAGTGCTGACATTTTCTTTACACCCAAACAGGTCAAGTAGGTTAAGGAGGAAATGGTGCTTAAGGAATTTCACATCTGTGAGTAAAACTACAGATGCTCCTCTCTATAGCAAGTTTCTGGTTTAATGTTCTGTTTTTGGTAAATATTTGTCAAATAAGTGAATAAACTGTAAAGAACACATATATGAATAGTGCTAATACTTTATTTATTATTGGATTTAATTTGCTATTATTTTCTTTTCTTTTCTTTTCTTTTGAGATGGAGTCTCGCTCTGTGCCCAGGCTGGAGTGCAGTGACGCGATTTCGGCTCACTGCAAGCTCCGCCTCCCGGGTTCACGCCATTCTCCTGCCTCAGCCTCCCAAGTAGCTGGGACTACAGGCACCTGCCACCACGCCCGGCTAATTTTTCGTGTTTTTTTAGTAGAGACGGGGTTTCACCGTGTTAGCCAGGATGGTCTCGATCTCCTGACCTCGTGATCTGCCCGCCTCGGCCTCCCAAAGTGCTGGGATTACAGGCATGAGCCGCCGTGCCTGGCCTTAATTTGCTATTATTTTCTAAAAATTTGTGCATCTATTTTCATGAGGGTTATTGGTATGTTATGTTCCTTATCAGGTTCCACTACTAGGTTTATGCTAGCCTCTTAAAATGAGTTGAGGACCTTTCCTTCCTCTATGTTCTGAAGGAGCAAGAAAGGCATGATTTTGTTTGTTTTATAGAAGTCCCCATTAAAACCATATGGGCCTGGAGTTTTCTTTGTGGGAAGGTTTTTGAAAACAAATTATCTTTAGTAGTTGTAAAGTTATTCAGATATTCTTGTGTCAATTTTTGTAAGTTTTATTTTTCATTTCATCTAAATGATCAAATTTGGTGGCAAAACTGTGTTCATGATATTGCCTTAAACTGATTTTAATATTTGTAGGATTGATAAAATTCCACTTTCTTAATATCTGTAATTTGTGTTTCTTCTCTCTCTTTTTGATAAATCTATCCAAAGGTTGGTCTAATTTATTGATCTTTTCAAATAACCAATTTTGAGATTTGTTCATTTTTTCTATTGCTAGTTTTCTATGTCATTAGTTTCTACTTTTTATTTCCTTCAATTTACTTTGGTCACTAATATACTGTATTCGTTTTCTAATCCTTTAAAGACATAAATATTTTGGTGAGCACTGCTTTCACTGCCCAAGAAAATTTTGGTATGTTGTGTTTTTATTTTCATTTAGTTTAGAAAAATTAAATATATTTAATTTCTTTTTTGATCCATGGATTTTGTAGAAGTTGTTTAATTTCCAAAGATGTGGGGTTTCTTAGAGCTTGGATTGCCATTGATTTCTAATTTTATTCCACTGTGATCAGTGAATATATCCTGAATAATTTTTTTACTCTTTTAGTCTCTGGAGACTCTTCTTGGCCCAATATATGACCTGTCTTGGTGAAATTACCATGTGCACTTGCAAAAAATGAGCATTCTTTGTTATTGGGTGTACAGTTCTACAAATATCAATTAGGTCAACATGGTTAACAATGTTCAGATCTTCTATATCTTTCCTAATTTTTTGTGTAGTTCTATCAATTTCTGAAGAGTATCAATAAAATCTGTAATTCTTAATATGAATTTATCTATTTATTTAACTTCTGTCAATTTTGCCTCATGAACTTTCAATTTCTATTAGATATATACTCATTTAAAATTACATTTTTATAAATTACTATTTTTATCATTATGAAGTATTTCTCTTCATCTTTGGTAATAATCTTAACTTGATATTTTTCACTGTATCTCATTTTGCTATACATATTCTGACCTCCTCCAGCTTACTGTTTGTATGGTATATCTTTTCCCATCAATTTATTTCCAATATATGTATGTGTTTACACAGAGCAACTATGTGCTAGAGACCAAAAAAATCTGTTTTCTTTTATCCGAAAATGTCTTTTATCTGCTTTCATTTTTTAAAACTATTTTCACAAGGGTATAGATTAGATTTTAGGTTCATAACTTTTCTTCCAGCACTTTAAAAGTATTGGCCCACTATCTTTTGGCCTCTATTGTTTTTCATGAGAATTCTACAACCATTTGAAAGATTGTTATTTTGCAGTGTCATTTTTAATGATGCTCTTAATGTGTCATTTTCTCTGATGTCTTTTAAAATTTTCTCTTCATCATTGTTTTTCAGAAGTTTGATTATAATGTGACTAGTTATTATTTATTCTGTTTGATGTTTGTGGAAATTCTTGAATGTGTAAATGCCTATCATTCACCAAATTTTGGGATTTTTGGCTCTCATTTCTCCAAAAAATGTTTCATGCTTTATTCTTTACTGCTTTTCCTTTGGGGACTCCAATCGCATCTCAGTGACTAATATTTCTTACCAGTCAGTGAAGAGCTTTTAAATCTTTTATTTTTAAACTCTTTTTTCTGTATCCTTTTCAGATTGAATAATTTCTATTGGTGTATCATCAAATGTTCACAAGCTTTCCTTTGTTATCTTTATTCCTCTAATAAATTAATTATTTGAATATTTTATTTTTGTTATATTTTTCAGTTTAAGAAATTTGATGTTTCTTTTTTTTGTTGTTGTACTTTAAGTTCTGGGATACATGTGCAGAATGTGCAGGTTTGTTACATAGTATATACGTGTGCCATGGTGGTCTGCTGCACCCATCAACCCGTCATCTACCTTAGGTATTTCTCCTCATGCTATCCCTCCCCTAGAACCCCACCCCCAGGCCCTGGTGTGTGATGTTCTCCTGCTCTGTCCATGTGTTCTCATTGTTCAACTCCCACTTATGAGTGAGAACATGCGGTGTTTGGTTTTCTGTTCTTGTGTTAGTTTTCTGTGTATATTTCCTACTTTTAGTTCCCTGCAATTATAGTTTCTTTTATGTCCTTATGGCATTGTTGTAATAATTGCTTTTAACTCCCTGTTCTAACATCTGGATCATCTTGGGTCATTGTTAGTTGTCTTTTCTGTTGAGAATGGGTTGTGTTTTCTTATTTCTTTGTAAGCTGATTAACTTGAACTTGTTAATGTTAACTTGTGAAGACTTTGGGTTCCATTATATCCCTCAAGAAGTGTTAACTATTTTTTGTTTGTTTCAGCAATTAACTAGGTTGTTTTTTGCAAACTCTCTCTTGGTCAGTAGTATGTATCTCAGTTCAGTTCTTCCAGCTTTATCTGTAGTGCTTGGGGTCTGCCGCACACATGATGCCGCACACATAAATAGTTTAGGTGTAAGCCAAGAGTTTAGGCTTTGTTTACAGAATTTGGAGCTTCCTCTCTCTGCCTTTCTTCTTTCTGGGACCTGCCTTTGATCTTTCAATGGCTGTGATTGTCCCAAACTCTGTCTTCTGGTTCTTTAGCTCAGAAGTTTGGTAGGTTTTCTATCACATTTTTAAACACCTTACCAGGCACAGGCTGTGAAGGTCCCTCAGTGTAGAAGCCCCCTAAAAGGAAAATATGTCCCATGCTGCTCCCTTTTTCCAAGTACTGACTCCCCATCCCAAATTTGCTGCTTCTTCCCCCTCCTCCTCCTCATCCTCCTTTTTTAAAATTTCCTCTCTAGTAACTTCTGTAGTTGTTTTTATAATTACTCCAGAATGTATAGTTGTTTCCTGAGAAGGATCAGCCTAGTATGAGTTTACTTGACCATTATTGGAAGTGGAATACACATGATTGATATTTGAGCACAAATTATATTTTCTTTATAGAGAAAAGGGAGGCCTGTCTTTAAACAAATATTTTGGGAAGCATTTGACTATCACCTGAACTCCTTGGCAGAATTTTTGGCTAAATATTGTAGTAAACCTGTTAATTCCAGGTTCTTACAGTCACCATTATGAATACTCCTGAAAAACTATGGTACCGTGGCTAAGCTGCCATTTCAGACAAAGATATTGGAGGTAGGAGAACCATAGGTATTTTGCTATATTGTATGAAGTGCTTCAGTAGACTGGAATTGAAAGTAAACAACTATTCCAGATCAAAATATAAAGACATCTGAATACACATGGAAGAATTATCATGTTGAAGATCACTTGTGTCAGGCAGCTAGTACTCACCAACTATCTATAAATTCCCCACATTTCTCAGCCTCCCTTGCAGTTTTGTTGGGTTTACATGACTAATTCTGGACTGTGCATTGTAAGCGCAATGACATCTATCTCTTCTGAGCTAAGGCATTTTAGAGTTAGTGAGCTGCCTCTACCGTTCTCTCCCACTTCCATGGAAACCTCAGTGACCACATGCTCTGCATGGCATAGTATTTCTATTGAAGAGGGTCGCCTGGCCTTTGACACACTTGACAGGAGCAGGAATTAAGACCTTATTTTATTAAGCTACTCATTTTGGCGCTGCTCTGTTGTGTCAGCTATTTTTAAATACCTGAATATATGACTCTACCGTTTAAATTTCTATTCAAATATGATTTACAAGTTTTTATTAAAATTGCCCTTGGAAAATTTACTGAAAGTTTACTTGTCTTTAATTGCAGGATTTTAAAATTTGTATGTAGTGCCTTTTTCTCCCTAAGAGTAGTCAATTTTTACTCTCAAAAAATATGAAATATTTTTATGCTTGGAGTTCAGAATAAAAGATATTTCCAATGGAATAAAATAAATGTATATATCTTTATTAGATAATTGAATTATTTAATTTGGTCATAGCAGGGAAGTTTTCAAAAGTCCTTATGCACAAATTGAAGATATTAGATTATTAAAGCATTGATGGCCTCTAGAGCAATGCTGTAAACATGTATGTTTGCTCTACTTTGATACTTTCAGTCACCAAGTTATTCAGTCATAGGATAAATGATAAAGTCTTAATTTCCAAATATTGCTGCAATAATGCAAACTCTGTGATGCCACAGGCATAACTTTTTGGAATTCTTCAGCTTGAGTCTAAATGTGAATATCACACATTTTGACCTAGGTATATATAATTTTGGCAAAACCACTCTCCCATTATACCTCTAATTCGGTTTCACCTGCTTCTCTTCTCCAGTCCAGCTGGGGTGTCATGCTTGACGGAGCCCTGCCCCTACTGCCATTGCCATTGGTTTGCAGATATTTATCCTCAGAGGTCTTCTCTTCTCATGCCATTTTGACACCCTGCTCAAGAGCATTGAAAACTTACTAGATGGAGCCAGGACCTCTTGACATCTTAACTGAAAGGACTCACTAAGCTCTTTCTTAAATGAAGATGAAAATTAAATAAATCATACAAGTCAACAAGAAAAATGTCTGAAAAGCAGCTCAGTCTTGAAAAGCCCAATATAAAAACTCCACACACCTACTCTTTGCCTTCATTCTTGGAGAACTATTATTCAGTTTCCCACCCGTCAGCCTTGATATTCTCCCTTACCCCACCTATCTGCTCACCCAAGTTCTACCAGTGTTACTTCAAAGAATCTCTATGATCTGTCTCAGTCTCTCCATCTCCACTGCTAGCACTCCAGTTCAAACCACTGGTATTGCCCGCCTGAGCTGCTGCAACAGTCTCCTGTCCCCAACAGCCTCTCATGCCTCAATCAAATTCTCACTAGAATTCTATACCCAGAGTGACGGTTTTCAATGTGCAAGCAAAATTATGCCATCTCTCTGTTTAAAGCCCTTTTATTTTTCCTTGCTCTTAGGAAGGAGAACAAGCCTCATAATATAGCATACAAGGATGTGAAAAATCTGCCCCTCAATAGACACTCTGGTGTTACTCCTCACCAATCGCCCCTCACTCTTGCTCCTCCAGTAATGTTGCCTTCCTTACGAGTCTGTCAGGGCCGTCAGTTAGCCTGGTACATTCTACATCAAGTTAATATACATTTGTCCTTCATGTTACCATATTACATCCTAATGAAACTTCCTAACAGGTCTTGATGTTATGTTTCCTCTTACCCCTTCATATATTTTTCTTCATAGAACTAAAGATTGTATTTATACATTTAATTTGTGACTTCTAAAACAGGTCTGTCTTCTGGTAGATGACAAGGAAGGTGCGATGCTTATTTTAACTCACCATTTTATTCCTAGAATCCTCCTACTATATAATTGAAGCTCAAGAAATATCTATTATATGATTGTATGAATAAATAATTAAATGAACAAATATAGCAGATTATCTTGCTAGATACACTTAATAGAAAATGAAATATAGAAATAATAGAGTGCTATATAGTATTGTCTAATCCTAGGATTGAAGGGTAAGAAAAGGTAATTAGAACAACATTAATGCCAGATCTCCTACTATAAGTGGGAATTCCAAAATGAATCTTTTCTTTTTGCATTTTTTATTATGAATGCCTCTGATTTTAAAAGATTCTGTCATTTTTATTATGTTTCTAGATCACATGTGCATAGATGTAGCAGCATTTCTAGAATTAAAAAGAATTAGAATAATTGACTATGGCACTTGATAATAAACTTCAAGAAATGGTTTAGGATTAAACAAGTATGACCTATACAGTGCATTTATACAAAATAATGAACAATTTTTTTACATATTCACCCTATTCCCAAATACCGCATTTGTTGAAATGTTATGAGAAACATTCTTTTAAAAGTCAAATCTAGCATGCATCATTTGTTTGACAAATCTATGCCTGCAACACTTACCATCATTTCTCTTTTTAAGTTTCTTCTTAAAAAGATGTGTCATATTTTGGAAAAAAAAAAAAAAACAAAGACTTGACAAGCTTTCACAAAGACAGAATTTCTACAATTGTGTCTACAGAAGAATCATTGGTGTATTTTTACTCATGACCCACTGCTGTTTCATTTCCCTTTTAGTTGTGTTTGCCAGATTTGGTATCCTGCTGTTTGGTTCAATAAACAAGATGCTGCATTTATGCAAAAGATTATTGAATGCTGGGTAAATGAGTTGCCTGAAGGTTGACTGGTCTGGAAACTTATGTCTCAGAAGCCTTAAGAGCTCTCTTGGCATGCTAAGGAGTGACCTAGGCGTGCTAAGGAGTACTGCCTCTTTCTGTCTCAAGGACATGTTTCTATTCAGAAGATGAAACACTGAATTGATATTAGAGATGGATGGTTTTTAATCCTGCCTTGTGATCTACAAGAAACTAACACTATGGTTTAGTTACTTAATGAAGATGAAATGAGTACCTTTTTGTACAATACATTTTAATTTTTATTTTTTGTTTCCATAGGTTTTGGGGGGACAGGTGGTGTTTTGTTACATGGATAAGTTCTTTGGCAGTGATTCCTGAGATCTTGGTGCACACAACACCTGAGCAGTTGTACAATACATTTTCATACTTTGCTTACACTGGGAAGTTTGGTAATACCTATGAAAGTTTCACAATCAAATACTCCGTATTTCCATATTTAAGAATATATCCTATACATATATTTTCGCATATACATAAGAACCTGTGGTCAATGATATTCATTATAGCATTGTTAACAGAAGAAAAAACTTAACCTAACCAAAAATGTAACTGGTTTAGTAAATTATGGCATATTCATTCAATTGAGTATTATGTGATACTTTTAAATGAACATATTATATCTGTAGGTCCTTTTTATAGAGGGGTATGCTATTTCTCCACTTCACTGAGAGTTTCCATATGTAGGGAATTTTCCCTTTAACAGTCTACATTGAACCCATGAATTATTCAATAAACACTGGATTAAGTGAGTGATTCTAGTAAAAGCCCACAATTGTTAGAGTAACTTTTACTCTAACAGTCACTCAGAGATGAAAGGTAAATATATTCAGTAGCTTTATGAAAAATTCTAGACGTTCTAAATTGTTTTGGTTTACACTTACTCCTCCACGTTTAGTTATGTCAGCAACTGCTGAGTGGGAGATAGGCATTGATTAATGTTTCTCAAATTGGTAGAACCAATCCAGCAACTCAGACTTTTTAGTCCTTCTGCCTCCACTCAGACAGTGGGAGAAATAAGTTGTAGTGTGTCTGCTCTGCACTCAACTTTTTCTCCAGTCAGCTGTTCCAAGGTCTCTACTGGGGAACTGGGGATTAGCAAGCCCTTTGGTTCTCATTTTAAGCTAAGTCCTCTTACCTGTTCTTCATCAGTACTAAAACCAGTTTTTGGGTTCTCCAACTGGTGACCCCTGTCACATCTCAATTGGTCAAGAAGTCTAGTGAAGAAGGGTCATTTTTGTTTTGTTTTTTTTGTTTTTGAGACGGAGTCTCACTCTGTCACCAGGCTGGAGTACAGTGGCACGATCTCGGCTTACTGCAGCCTCCACCTCCTGGGTTCATGCGATTCTCCTGCCTCAGCTTCCTGAGTAGCTGGGACTACAGGCACGTGCCACCACACCCAGCTAATTTTTGTATTTTTAGTAGAGATGGGGTTTCCCCATGTTAGCAGGACTGGTCTCAAACTCCTGACCTAGTGATCTGCCCTCCTCGGCCTCCCAAAGTGCTGAGATTACAGGCGTGAGCCACCGCACCTGGCTGAGTCATGCTTTTTATTGGACCACCTCAAAAATCCCCAAAGCATTGATATTAAGTGATCTTCAGATATAAAATTAAATGGAAAACCTAAGACGTTCAGTAATGGGTATCATTTATATTTAAAGGAGTGTTTACATTTATGTTGGTATATTCATTAACTCTCTCTGAAAGTTCATAAAGTGGGTATCACTGTAGAAAACAATTTTCAGGAAAAAAAGAGCCATGGAGGGAGGCCTCTTTTTCACTATATATTTTATCTATTTTTTAATCTGTGTGCACATATTACTTTTCCAAAAAAAGTAAAATAAAAATGTAAATATATAAATAAATGCATTCTAATTAAACATAATCTGTTCTTAGCAAGTAATACAATTAAGTAATATGATTATCTTAGAGATTACTATTAATTGAGGTAATGGCTATGCCAGGCTCTTTGCTAAGCATTATGGTTCCTATCTTATTTATGGTTCCATCAACTCTATAAGGTAGCTAGAGTTTGTGTATTTTCAGATGAAGACGTTGGCCCTAAAGAGGAGTTTGCACAAGGTTACACAGTATTTATCATGGCAACAGTGTAAACCCAGGTTTTCATAATTTCAAAGGCCATGCTCACTAATATTACACTGAGGTTCAGCTTATAACCCATTTCATTTATTCACCCTAGAAGGACTGCATTGAGCCAAGGAATGGTGGTGAACCAGAACTATTGCCATTTCATTTGGTATTGGAGATCTGTGAATGCATGGGAGTGCTTTGTATTAAGGCCTAGAAATCCTTTGTTTAAGTTGCAAGTGGATTTAGTATTGATCATTATAGCTGAGCTAAAAAATACCCTTTTATGATCAGGCAGCTAGTTCCCTGGAGAAGCCATGGCAAGTGGATCACAGAAGGGGTGCATAAGTGGCTCTATCTTTCTAGTAGTCTTGATTGTGGCATCATAAAGATGTGTGTGGCTTTGTTTAGGGGCTTACAACAGAATTGGCAATGTGAAGCCAGCACTGACTAATATATTGCATTTATTTCATATATTTATATGCTATATATATGAAAAAATATATATGAAATAAATATATTGCATTTATTACTAATCTCTAGTATATCAGACTAATGTGTATATTAGAGACTAATCCATTGCATTTATTTCATATATATTTTTCATATATGTAGCATAGAAATATACATATACATAGACAAGTACTTACTCTGTTGCCCAGACTAGAATTTAGTGGCATGATCATAGCTCAGTGTGGCCTCGAACTCCTGGGTTCAAGAATTTCTCCTGCCTCCGCCTCCCAAAGTGCTAGGATTACAGGCATGAGCCACTGTGCCCAGCCTATCTCATAATTTTAATCTAAAGTACACTGTGTTTCTTTTGGTATATTTATGAACTCGAGGTCACTCCATGTCATAGAATTTCCTTGGGAGCTAGAACAATCAACTCTTCTTAACTCTGCTATTTTCTAGTGGGTGACCTTGGGCAACTTAACTCTTCATTTTTCCCATCTCTTAAATGAGGTGTTAAGAATACTTATCGCATAAGGTTATTATGAAGATTAAATGAAAGAGTTGACATATAATGCTTAGGGCCCATACTAAGTGCCAACAATTCTTACCTATTTATTATTACTATCATATTCTTTATTCTAAAAATCAGTTTTATATGTGCCTAAGACCTTAAAACTGTAATATTCCTCTTATATATAGTAATAATTATGTGCAACATTGTATTTGGACAATTATGTCAAATAAACTAAATATTAACTAGAATATTTTACATTTATAGCTCCTTTTGTGAAACTTTAATGTATTGTAAACTCAAACCAGCTTGGAATAAATTTCATAATTTTTTCTTTCATCAGTCAGATTGATTAAACCAAAACAGAGCTGAACACATGTATTTTTTAGTCTTAGAGTGATACGAGTGATAATGTAAGCTATATAACTGTTAAAGAAGTGAGGCAAAAAATTAATATTTTGAATAAAAATCTATTTGCATTCATTATATTATTATGAGCATATAAATTGGTTGAAGTTTATAATGAGCTGATTGCTCTCCAGATACACACTATGAATTTATTTTTCTAATTTAATATTATACGCTACTTGCATTTTTGAAGTGCATGGTGGGGAGGTTATTACGTCATTATGGCTGTTATTTTATCCCTAACATGGCATAGTAGGAATATATAAATATTAGGCACTAGACATCTTCAATTTTTACTCTAAATATTATTGTATCTGTAAGTTTTATATGTCTATTTATTATATTCATGCATGACTCATTCTGAAATTATTCCTTGGCTACAATTTCTGTTGAATTTTATGTGTCATTCATTTAATTTTTAATTAATATTTACTGTTTTTCTTAATTTTGTTTTTATTATAACTAGTTCTCTCTATGATCTAAAAAAGATATAATTTTTGTCAATAGTTTATTGAGACATAATTTACACACAGTAAAGTGCCAAATTTTAGATATAATCATCATTGAATTTTATCAAATGTATATACCTGTGTAATTCTCTTCCAGATAAAATAAATAGAAGATAGTAAACATCACAGAAGTCTCACATCTGTTCCTCTTGATTACTATACTGAAGTTTAGATTTGTCTGTTTTAAAAATTCATGTTTAATGAATCATACGGTAGGTTCTATGTTGTGTGTAATCTTTTCTTTTGCTCAACATCATGTTTATTAGATTTGTTCAAGTTATTGTGTGACACATGTTTATTCCTTTTTCATTGTCAGATAGTTTTCCATTTTATGAGTATAAATAGTATATTTCTCTAATTTATTTTTGATAGATTTTTCCAGTTCTTGTCTATGAACAAAGCTGCTGTGAACATTTTTCCATATATTTTTGGTGCAAATATTTACTTATTACTGTTAGGTACATACATTGTAGTATAATTACTGAGTCACAGGGTATGTTTTTGTTCAGCTTTAGTAGACATTCCTAAATAAATTTTCAAAGTGGTTATAACTAATGTATATTCCCACTGATAATGTATAAAAATTTCATTTGCTTCACATCCTCAGAAATATTTGGTATTGTTATTCTGAAGAATGAGTGGCGGAATCTCATGTTTTCTTTGGCTTCATATTATTTTGCATTGTTTTATAATTTTATTACATTTGATTTATGTTCTGTACACTTAACCTATTGTAAGTGTATATTTCAATGATTTTCAGTAAATTTATATGGTATTGAAATAAACCTCAACAATTCAATTTAAGAACACTTTCATAGTCTCTCAAATATCACACATACCTGTATGTATTTCATCTTCTCTCTTCCCTAAAACTCAGAAAACCACTGATATGCTTTCTGCCTTTATAATTTTATTGTTCTCAAAATTTCATTTAAATAAAATCATACAACGTGAAGTCTTTTGTGTCTGTACTTTGCTTAACATAATACTTTGAGGTATACCCACATTATTTTGTTTATCACTAGTTGTTTCCTTTTCCTTTTCTGAGTACTGTTCCACTGCATATATCACATTTTGTTTCCACTCACCAGTTGATGGACATTTGCATTGTTTTCAACTTTTGGCAAATAAAAACAATGCTGCTATGAACATTCATATGCAAGCCTCTGTGTGGAGATGGGTATTTATATCTTTTGGGTTGATCCCTACGAGTGGAATTGCTGGGCCATATGGCATATCAGTTTTTCATTGCTGCATAACAAATCACCACAAACTTAGTGATTAAAAACAGCATCCATTTATTTTCCCATAATTCTGCATGTCAGAAGTCTAGGCAGGCTTAACTGGGCTCTCTGCTTAGAGTCTCACAAGCTGAAGTCAAGTTATAGGCCATTTGGGCTCTCAAATGGAAACTCTGGGGAAGAATACTTCCCAAGGATCAATTGTTAAGTATTGGTGAAATCCAGTTCCTTGCAGTTGTAGAACTGAGGTTCTCATTTCCTTGCTGGGAGGTGCTTTCAGCTTCTAGAGGCAACCCAGATAATTTATCAGGCAAGACAGCAATGGAGCATCAAATCCTTCTTTTGTTTCAGATTTCTGTGAATTTCCCCTTTTCTACCAGCTGGAGGAAATGCTCTGCATTTAAAGGGCTTGTGTGATTAAAATGGGCCCAACTTCATAACCCTCCTTAGACCTCAAGTCAATTGATTAGTGCCCTTACTTACAATCATAAAATCCCTTTTTATATTATAACCTAATATAATTACAGCTACAATGTTTCATTATATTAACAATCCTGAGGGTGTCAGGCAAGAAATCTTGGGGACCAGTTTTTAATTCTACCTACTACATATGGCAACATACGCTAATTTATTTTTAAAACTTCCTTATTGTTTTGTAAAGCAACTCTGGTGTATTACTACAATCATACTGTCATTTTATGAAGCTTTTAGATTTTCCACATCCTTATGAATATTTGGTATTGTAAATTTTATAATGCCCATTATATTATACATGTAGTTGTATTTCGTTGTATTTTGATTTTCATTTTATTAATGGCTAAGTATGTTAAACTTACTCTCATGTGATTAATAGCTATTTATATTCTTCAGTGAAATGTCTATTTAAATATTTTGCCAAATTTAAAAATTTTTTTTAAATTGAGTCATAAAAGTCTTATATTTTCTGGATTCAAGTTGATTATCAGGAAAATGATTTATAAATATATTCTATAATTTTGTGGCTTGTATTTTCACTTTCTTAATGATTACTTTGAAGAACGAATGCTTTTACTGTTGATAGAATCCAATCTTTTTTTATGGATCATGCTTTTGATGTCAGATGTAAGAAATCTTTGACTAACCAAAGATCATAAAGATTTTCTTCTAAAGGTTTTATATTTTTAGCTCTTACATTTAGAACTATGATACATTTTGAGTTAATTTTTGTGTGTGATGTGCAGTAAAGGTCTGTTTTAGTTTTCTATTTCTGCATTAAGTCATAAACTTAGGGATTTAAAATAATACCCACTTATCTCACAATTTCCTTGGGCTCAGAGCCTGAGTACAGCTTAGTTGGGTCCTTTGCTCAGGATCTCACAAGGATGCAACCAAGGTGTCAGTCAGGCTGCATTCTCATCTGCAGAAATAACTAGAGAAAATAGAAAGAGTCATTTCCAAACTTATTCAGGTTGTTGGCAGAATTCATTTCCTTATGACTGTGTGACTGAGAGCATAGGATTTTTTTTGATCGCCTGCTGAGACTGACAGTTCCTTGCTATGTGGGCTTCCACCACATGGATGAAAACTAAATCAAGTCAGCAAGGAGAGTCTCCCATGCCAGTTTGTTGGGACAGAATCTTATATTATATCATGTAATTATGTTCATGATTTCTCATTACTATTGCCATATAATATTACCTGATCATGAGAGTGACATGCCATTACCTTTGCCTTTTTTATTGGTTAGATGCAAGTTACAGGTTCCACCGACACTCAAGTGGAGGGGATTAAACAAAGGCATGGACACATCAAGGTGGGAAATATCACTCTAGAGTTTGTTCATCACAGAGTCTAAGTTGATTTTTTTGTGGGAGTTATTTGTTAATTATAACAATAAAACTAAAAAACAGAGAAATGGATGCAACATTTACTATTTGGAAATTTTTATTATTAATTATATATTATTATAATTTAATGTCATATTATTATATATACTTCATATTATTTTATATTGTTATAATATTATGGAAAACAATAGAAAAATAAAAGGGTTATTATCAACTGGTGAACTTAGAGCAAAACAACAATCTTATAATAAGATGGAAAAGGAATTAAACTTTTGTAGCTTCATGGGTAGAATTAAGGTTATTGTTTCAAATGTGTAAAGAAGGAGATATTTTATCTTTGAAGAAAATGTCTTAACATCAGAATGGTTTAAATAACTAGAAACTTAGATATTGTTCTTACTTTAAGGAAGGTTTCTGGTTTCTGGTAGTACATAAAGATCGCTATTTTTAGTTCTGTTTTTTGTAACATTATTTATTAGTTATACATTGCAGTCATTACTACAATATTTTGAAATATTTGCTAGGTTTTTTTTGCCTGCTATCCCCATTTTTTCATTGACACTTTCTTTATTTAGTAACTGGGTCATCCTGTATTTGTTGCTATAGGAAAGAAGCATAGAACAGAGAAAACATATTCTTTCCCAGATCCTGAGTTTTAAACTTTAGGCCTTGCAATGAATGAAAAGGATTCTGGTAAAGATAACACACTTGTTAAAATACTTGGATTTTTAGAAAACCATGGATTCCTGGCCTTAAGATAAAGGTCCTCCTTGCTGTAGAGGAAGGAGAATTATTCCAGGAGTGGTGAGAAGAGTTTAGTTGACAATAATTTGCTGATAGTGACTATTCCCTGAGCTCACGCTCCACCAGAATAAGTGCAGAGGGATGTGGCATTGGGGAACTGTCTGCCCTGTCCTGGATAAAGTGGATGCCAACACTAAGAGTAGCTATGGCTGCCTGGCTTGTCTGGGCAGATGAGCAAAAAGTCACCCCACAGCACCCCTCTGGGCTTTGTGACAATTATCAGAATCAAAATGGAGTCACTAGTGTTTTTTTGTTTGTTTGTTTTTTAAGAAAAAAAAAAAAAAGTAGTTTGTTTTTTCCCTGAAAAATAGAGCCAGGGAAGACTATGAAGAAAGGGTTCTCATACTCCTATGCGTGATAACAAAAGTATCAGAAAGCCTCTGTGTATTAGTTTGTTTTCATACTGCTATAAATAACTGCCTGAGACTGGGTAATTTATAAAGGAAAGGGGTTTAATTGACTCACAGTTCAGCATGGCTGTGAAAGCCTCAGGAAATTTACAATCATGCCCGAAGGTGAAGGAGAAGCAAGGCACCTTCTTCACGAGGCAGCAGGAAGAAGTGCAGAGCCAAGGGGGAAGAGCCCCTTATAAAACCATTAGATCTTGAGAGAACTCACTCACTATCATGAGAACAGCATGGAGGAATCTGCCCCCATGATTCAATTACCTCCACCTGGTCTCATGCTTGACACGTGGGGATTATTGGGATTATGAGGATTACAATTCAAGATGAAATTGGGTAGGGACACAAGCCTAACCATGTCACTCTGCAAAAAACACAAGCTTGCATAAAGGCCATCACAACTTTACACAAAAAATACTTCTGCAAGGACATCTGCCCATCAACTGCCTGTTCCATCTTAAACTGGCATCACCTTTGTTATTGATCTTTGTAGCCAAAGATAATTATCTCAAAACAATTATGTAATCCTCATTTTTTCTTTAAAAATGTTTGTCTTTATTTACCTTCCTGAATATTCACATAATTACTATGTCATGTGTATTTCCATTGCAATCTTCTACCCCTGAATCAATTTTTTTTTTAAATTTTAGAGAGTCTCTCTCTCTTTGTTGTGCAGGTTGACATAAATGGTGTCAGAAATGGGACTTGTAGTAAGACCACTATCAGAAGGAAACCAGGTGGTTCTTGGGACTGATATGCAGTACTCACTTCAGCCCCTCAAGCTATCTTCTGCTGCCATGGCTCACCTTTTCTGCCCTGGTTAGTATTCTCTCAGGCTGAGAGTCTCTCTTTTTGGCAGAGGTTTTTGGACACTATTTGGGATCTGGTTTAGATATAAGGTCATCTTAAATAAAGAATCTTACATCCCTGCCAGGATGATAAAATACTTTTTGTCCTATCTGTTAAGTTCTTTCTAATATAACACCAACTGTCTTTTGGATTGAGTACTCTGGTTTCTACAGAATTTACATTCTATCTGAGAGGAATGCCTTTTCTAGTGAATTTATTTTGTTGATCTGCACACCTCATATAAAATTTTTGTGAACACTCTTACTGTAATTTATTTTGATTTGGTTTGACTCTTCTCGTGCTTGTTTCTGAAAATCTTCTAAGAACAAAAAATAAACATTCTAAATGATGGATGAAGTATGAGTAATTAAAAGCAACTAGGGTGGTTGTCACCATCTAAAACACTGGTGGAAACTCCTGACACTCTTTAAAAGAATTTGTCAAATTTTCTTTGCTCCGGAGAGATTAATAAGAAACAAAATGGAATTCTCAAACATTACTCTGTGCCAGGTTTCCTGGGATTCCAGTCAGCTATATATGATGGCCTGTTCTTGTACACAGTTTTTAAACTAAAGGGCAAATTACATTAAGGAAAATTCAGAGCTTAAATGGTCTTGACTTGAACTCTTTGAAAGACCTGCAACTATAGAGCTAACCTGTAGAGCCCGCTAAATTCTCTAGCTCTCTAATTTTTTTTCTTCTGCCTACTTTAAATCTAACTTTTCTACTGGTGTTGAGATAAAACTTATTATTTATGGCATTCCAGCAAATACAAAAGTCTTAAAGGGCTTTCAAGCTAATGGATGTACAGATTACCACAGCTCCATCATAATTGTCAGTGAAATGAAAATATAAATATTTTCAGAATTGTCAACATATATTTTTGCCTGGGTTTACTAGCTAATAGTTTTACATTTGTGTTTGATAGATAATTTTAGGTGTCAGCATTTGACACAAAGATTATAAAGCTATAAACTCAGCCTAAAACAGAATAACCTTTGTATAATTCTTTGACGCATAAGACTAATCTAACTTTGTTGGCTTAATAAAAATAGCTGTATCTCCTTAGTTATTGGTAAAATACCCATATATTTAACTTTAAGTTTCTTACTTAGGTAAACAACTGATATTCACAGTATATAAAAATTATTAACAGGGAAATAACTTGAAATGATGACTAGCTTTTTCTAATATCTCAATTTTCATAAGTAATCTAGGTAAACTGTTAAATATTAAATAAATTAGGTAAATGTAAATGGGATAATTATCTATAAACATGAAATCTTAAAATTGTGTTAAATTAAATAATAGATACTCATTAAATGTCTGAGTTATTTCCAAATAACATTAAAAAATGAAATTACTGAACATAAATATAAGTTTCTTCTAGGCTTCTCAAACTTCATAGAAAGGTTAAATATATTTGGGTTATTAATATGCATGAATATTTTGTTATAGGGAAACAAATTTCTATAAATTATAAAATGGTTATTATCTATGAGATACTGATATGTGAGAGTTCAAAATTGCTTGCTAAAAATTAGGGTTGCAAAGGGTTAAAAATCTAATTTGCATATGTATATATACACACACATACAAACATACATATATGTAAAATTCTATATGTTAGATGTGCAAAAAAATAAGTTTTTAATGAGACAAATTATAATAAGCACATAAAAATGTCCTTTTTTTTTTAGAAAGAAAGAATAATTTTGTCTAATTTGGAGGTTATTTAAAGGTCATTTCAAAACATGCATTTAAGAAGGAAATAGAAACAAGGCTCAAATGAACCAGAAGTAGAAGGAAGAGACGTAAATAAAGTTATGGGTATGAAAGTGAATTTTTGATAATAAAGGTTAAAAAGAAAAGAGAATAATTTTATATGAGAGATAATTTTATGTGAGAAATTTTTATCCTAAACTAAAATGACTGGTCATTTAGTAAGAGGAAGTATAGAATGTAGAAATTCCAGGCATGTCATAAATGGTCTGAACACATAATGATAATGTTTATGAAGTAGGAATTTATGAAAGTAATTATGTGCATGATTAAGTTGCTATATCTAGAAAAAATTATTTATAAGTATTTCTAAAACTTGAGTTTTGATATTAAAAATACACTAAAACAAAATGAAAAATTTGGTTCCCTATGTTCAGACAAGGTTTTCTTAAAGTATTCTTTTGTTTTTTGTAAAACTGCAAAAGGTATTGATTTTTAATTCTGAAATCTGTTTCTTTAACAGACATCTTCTAAACTGTTGAAAGTTTCTCTTTCTGCACATTTATTCCTGAGATCCACTAAATTTTCCTTGTTTTAGGGTGGAAATGCTGTCTTTTTCATTCAGAATGGTAATTTCATTTCTTGAGGTAAAATTTCTCTTTTTCAAGCTTCTCAGATTTATATCTCAGAGTTTCAACTCTTGCCATATCTCACTTCACATGATTTGCAGGTCATGCATCATTGCCTTTGGCTATCCTTCTTTCTCCCCGTAGAAAGGCAGATAGAGATAGAGATAGAGATAGAGATAGAGATAGAGATAGAGATAAAGATAGAGATAGAGATAGAGATAGAGATAGAGATAGAGATGATATAGATATTTGTTTGGCTGGGATGATAACTCTCTTTTTCAGCCTTTTCATCAGCTCCTATAATTTTTTTTTCCTAGTTCCAACTCTGCTGTTATGGCCTGATGCTGAAACCTTCCAACACCTAGAAAAGCAATGTCTTCCTTCAGTATAACTTGCTTCCATACTCATAGCTTTCATGATGTGTCTGAATTCTTTCATGTAGCCAGTGAACTTGACACACTTTTACTTTTTTCTAAGAGCCATGTATTCCCCTGCTTAATGTACTAGCTTTCTTGTTTACATTCTTCTCTAATATAATATACACTAATAACCTTGGGCATGTATTCTTCTTGTGTCTGATTAAATTCAAGTACTCTTTTCATCAGGTTCAACTTCCAGGTTGTCTAAATGGGCTTCCCATTAGGAGAAACAATCTCATTATGGGTGGTTTCTCTGTGCTTTTTTGGCAACTGGCCTTAAAAAATAGAATTTAGGTTTTATTAAGATAATTTCCTATGTTGTCTTCCTTACGTTTTTGATTACTTAGGAAAACTGATCTGTGAAAGTGTTAAGGTTTTTAAATCCATGTAACTTTATGTATTACTTTGGAAGTTGATATGGTTTGGGTGTGTGTCCCTTCCAAATCTCATGTTAAAATGTAATCCTCAATGTTGAAGGTAGGGCCTAGTGGGAGATATTGGATCATGCGGCAGATCCTTCATGAATGGCTTAATGTCACCTCCTTGGTAATGACTGAGTTCTTGCTTAGTTAATTCATGTGAGATCTGATTGCTTAAAGGAGTCTAGGACCTCTCCCTTCTCTCTCTTGCTTCCTTTCTCACCATGTGATATGCCTGCTCCCCCTTCATCTTCCACCATGACTGTAAGCTTCCTGAGGCCCTCACCAGAAGCAGATGCCAGCACCACACTTCTTGAACAGCCTGCAGAACCATGATCCAAAATAAACCTCTTTTCTTTATAAATTACCCAGCCTCAGGTATTTCTTTAGAGCAACACAAGTATGGACTAACACAGAAAATTGGTACCAAGGACTACGGCATTGCTGTAAAGATACCTGAAGACAGAGAAGTGGCTTTGGAACTGGGTAACAGGCAGAGGTTGGAAGAGTTTGGAGGGCTCAGAAGAAGAAAGGGAGATAAGGAAAAGTTTGGAACATCTTAGAGACTGGTTAAATGGTTGTGACCAAAATGCTGGTAGAAATGGAGACAGCAAAGGCCAGGCTGATGAGGTCTCAGGTGAAAATGAAGACGTTATTGGGAATTGGAGTAAAGGTAACCTGTGTTATACCTTAGCAAAGAGCTTGACTGCATTCTGTTCATATCCTAGGAATCTGTGGAAGTTTGAACTTAACAATGATGACTTAGGGTATCTGGCAGAAGAAATTTCTAAGTAGCAAAGCGTTCAAGAGGTAACAATCAGATATGGAAGCAAAGAAATGACTTAAAGTTGAAGTTTGTTATTAAAAGGGAAGCATAGCCTAAAAGCTTGGAAACTCAGCAGCCTGGCATTGTGGTAAAGAAGGAAAAAGCATTTTCAGCAGAAGAATACAAGTGGGCTGCAGAGCAACCACTTTCTAAATACATTAGCATGACTAAAAGGGAGCCAAGTGTTAATATCCAAGAAAATGGGAAAAAGGCCTCGAAGGCATTTCAGAGATCTTCAAGGAAGCCCCCTCTTTCACAGACCTAGAAGTCTAGGAGAAAAGAATGGTTTAGTGGGCCAGGCCCAGAGCACTGCTGCACTGCTCAGTCTCAGGACACAGCTCCTTGCATCCCAGCAGCTGTGGCTCCAGCCTTGGCTCTACAGGCCCCAGATACAGATTGGGCTGCTGCTTTGAGAACACAAGCAGCTGGAAACCTTGATAGCTTCCATGTGGAGTTAGACAGAGAATGCAAGAGTAAAGGAGGCTTCAATGCTTCCAACTGGATTTAGGAAGATGTATCAGAAAGCCTGGGTGCCAAGACAGAAGGCTACAACTCAGACTCTACAAGGGCAGAGTCCCTGCAAAGATTCTCTACTACAGCAGTGCCAAGGAGACATGTAGGATTGAAGTCCCCACATAAAGCTCCCACTGGGTCACTGGCTAGGAAAGCTGTGGGAAGTGGGTAATAACCCTGCATCCCCTAACATGGTAGAGCCAGCAGCAGCTTGCCCCCTTAGCCTGGTAAAACAGCAGACACTCAATTCCAACTGGTGAGAGTAGCTACAGAGGCTGCACCCTGCAAAGCCAAAGGGCAGAGTTTGCCCAGAGCTGCCCAAGGCCATGTGAGCCTACCTCTTGTACCACTGTCCTCAAAATGTGGGACATGGAGTCAAGGGAGATTATTTTGGAGCTTTAAAGTTTCATGTCTGCACTGATCGGTTTCAGATTTGTGTGGGGCCTGTTACCTCTTTCTTTTGGCTTATTTCCCCCATTTGGAATGGAAATTTTTACCCAATGCCTATACCATCATTGTATATTGGAAGTAAGTAACTCGTTTTTTATTTTATAGGCTCATAGGTAGAAGGAATTTGTCTTGAGTCTCAGATGAGACTTAGGACTTTGAACGTTTGAGTGGATACTGGAGGTTTGTAACACTTTGGGGGACTATTGGAGAGGGATGATTGTATTTTGTAGTTTAAGAACATGAGATCTGGGGAGCCAGAGGTGGAATGATATGGTTTGGATGTATGTCCCCTCCAGATCATCTTGAAATGTGATTCCCAATGTTGGAGGTGGGACCTAGTGGGAGGTGTTGGATCATGGAGGCAGATTTGTCATAAATGGTTTCACTCCATCCCCTTGGTGTTGAGTGAGTTCTCTCTCAGTTCATGCAAGATCTGGTTGCTTTAAAGAGTCTAGAGCCTCCCCCTTCTCTCTTTGCTTCTTCTCTTACCATGTGATACACAGAATCCCCTTTCAACTTCTGCCATCACTGTAAGCTTCCTAAGGCTTCACCAGAAGCAGATGCTGGCACCACGCTTCTTACAGAGTTTGCAGAACCTTGAGCCAAAATAAACCTGTTTTCTTTATAAATTACCAAGCTTCAGTTTTTTTTTTAATAGTAATGCTGCAATGGACTAACACAGAAGTGTTTTGATTATTACTTTGCTTAAACGAAAATGTATTCTTGTAGAGTGACCTGTGATTCTGTTTTGATCAAGTCATTTGACACTTTGACATCTTTTACAGGTTTCCCTGGGACCAAAATTCTGAATTAAGCCTCTGTGGTGTAAAATTAACTGAGATTTTCCAGTTGGGCCCCTAATGATCCTTAAAGAATGTATCTCTTATAGAGGTATTAAATGATTAAGCTTACCTGGTAAATTGTATAGGAAGCATTGTCAAATGATAAGTTGTACTAGATGTTCCTCCAGTTACATTTATGGGTATGTTTTTGACATAAATGTTTCAAAAGTGATATCAGTATATAGAAATCTAGTAAGTTATGAGGCATAATTCTGGTTGTTATGTTAAATCTTTCCTAAAGTTACATTTTTTATGAGTATGTTATTTATGTGAGTATTCTAATGATTACATAAAATGTATAAAAGTGTTGGTTTTGATATGATGCTATCAGTCATGATTCTAGTTATCTTAAATGCTGTATTTAATAGAAACAACTCAATTTCCTTGTCAATCATCAGATTTTTAATCATGGCTATTCTAAGCTTTTCTCATCCAGAGTTATTGGTTTGAATTTTTCTTTAAAAGCATTTTGAAAACTACACTCCAAAATTGTTTCATGAAAAAGACTCTAACAAGTACTTTGTGGACATAGATTTCTGATAAGTTTAAGATTGATGCACTAAAAAAACTTTCCAGACTCGAATAAAAACAAAAGAATTTATAAAACTGCTAACAAAGATCAAGCAAAATAAAAAATCAATTACATGAAATTCAGTAACTTCTGAAAATAAGGTTTTTATGACCTTTATTTGAAGGATTGTTGACTATTTACTTACATGCTTTATTTTCCAGATTTAAGAAAATTTTCTCTCTTAAATGACCTATAATTTACAACAATTTGGTAAAGTATACTTGAGTGAACAAAGATGGAAGCATTTACTTTTTCTCCCTACTTGATCCCCCAAAATTCAGAAAATATTCATGAGTATTCTTATTTTTATGACAATACAGTTATTTGCAATAGTTCAACAAAAAATTGGATCCCCAGCATCCCCCTTCAACTTCCGCCATCATTGTAAGTTTCTTAAGACCCTCACCAGAAGCAGATGCTGACACCATGCTACTGATACAGGTTGCAGAAGCTTGAGCCACAATAAATTCTCTCTTTTTACAGCAGGATATAATTGGTTACGTTACTGAGGCTTTGACTGAAATAATATTCAAGAATGTGCATAAAATGCCTAGCTTCAAGGATTCCCAGTCTTATAGTGAGTTGGCAAATAAATAAATAAATAAACAAACAAATAAATACTGTTATTTGCTAGCAGGCCCAAGAACCTCAAGACTGTAAGTACAATCTAAAGTCAATCTTGGTTTGGCTTCCTGTCTCAAGAGGTTTTAAAAATCTGGTATTCCTATGTAATCAATGCAGAGAGAGAAAAATATATTTCTAAAAGAAAAACTGTAATACACCTGTTAGATTGCAACCCTATGCATTGTTTTCAAATTCTTGTTATCTACCTGGAGACTAGACTAGGTCCTAAATTCTTCTAATTTTATTCAATATTTGGCTACAACTGTCCAACTAAAACCAAAATTTCTATTTTCCTGAAGCCCTAGCTGAAACTAGAAGCATTTTAAGAAATAAAGCTTGTGCCTGATGTATGGGCTGCACAGAAAGTCCACTAAACTGCTGGATGCAGGAGAAGGTGACATTTTTACACTGTAAAAAGTTCTTCCCAAGGCTTCAGAACAGGACTGTGTATCATAATGAGATTCTTACCCCTCTAAAGGCCTACCTTTTTATATAGCAGAATAATGTTGTATGTAATGAAATTTCACAAGCAGTATCTTCTTCTGGTAACTTAACAGAACTTAACCTAAAAAAAAAAATCCCTTAGAATCCCTTAGTTAAGTAAGAAAAATATCTGTACAATTGCTAATACTGCTTGGTGGACCTGGAAAAATCCCTCTGGGAAAGTTGAGACTCATATACGCAAAATTTAAAAAACAGGCCACACAGTTACAACCTAACTCCCTAAGGTCATTTGATTTATTAAACTGACTGCCTTTAAGCTTGGGTTTATGGCTGAAAACTATTATACAAACTGGGATTGTCATATTAATATTAATTTTATTTTGTATTTTCCCTTTTAAAACTTCGTATCTATTACTTGTTAAATTTTTTGCAGAAGTACTACTAACAGAATAATATTGGCCCAGCACTTTGACATGATAACAAAAGACTGTGGAACAGACAAAATTGAACTCAATAATGGACTCCAAGTAGATTTTGCTTTAGAGACATTTCCTTCAAAACTCCCTAGCTGCTGAAATGTGGCTAAAAAAAGTTTTGAATACTGATTCCTAGTTGCTAATCATTCCCCCTAATGTGGGATGAAACCAGCAAGCAGGAAAGAGTCATCCAGGCACCAAGGATCATTAAAACCTAACTGCAGGATGATTGATCAGTGATGCTTTTGGAAAAAAAAACCTTGATCAAAAGGGGCAAATGTGAAAGCTGTCAGAATAAAAAGAAGTCACTAATATTGAAAGCAATAAAGAACCCTAACAAAGAGAGCCAGGGAAGTCTATGAAGGAGGGGTTCTCATGCTTGTGTGCCCGATAACAAAGCTATCACAAAAGACTCCACAAAAAACCATAACCTTGAACTAAGGTCATTGCAATCTTATACTAAAAAAACAAAATCCTTCTGCAAGGACATCTCTCCAGCAACTGCCTGTCCAACTTTGAATTGGCATCACCCTTGTTATTGATCTTTGTAGCCAAGGATAATTATCTCAAAACAGTTATGTGATCCTCCTCATTTTTTGTTTAAAAACTTTTGTCTTCCTTTACCTCCCAGAAAAAGCACATAGTTTAATATGGCATGGGTATTCCCATTGCAATGTTCTACTCCTGAATAAATATAGTTTTCTTTTAGAGAGGCTCTCTTTGTTATTTAGGTTGACATCACCAAGTTGGCAAGGGAGCAACAGCATAAGCCTTTGTGCTCAGGGTACAGCATGGCACAGACCTGAAGGGAACTTTTTGCAAGGAACAAAAATAATATGGCAGGATCTGCATTTAATAAAACCAAAGTCACAATGAACATGAGGTGGCTCAGCAGATACCAATACGTTCAGGTGCCAACCTAAGCAGGTACCTCCCTCCCTCGTTGTCCGCCTTGAGTCTGCATCATTCGAGTCTTCCTGGAATTTAAAAAGCAATCTTAGATAAATGTCAAGTGGGGACCCTTAAGCTTACATAGATTAAACATCTCCATTTGGAGAAGAGAGGCAAGTTTCGTCTAACGATAAAAACAATAAGGATGAATTTAGATGAATACCAAATTCATCTAAAATATCAAATTCACCCTTCAGATGAATATCAAATTTAAGAAAAGAATAAGGCTTGTTGAAATGGCAAATGTGTGGATAGTTGGCCCAGGACTCAGAAAGCAATAAATAACTGATCAATGGACCACATCCCTCAAGATGAAATGTAATGGGGACAATGTGGACATAATGTAAATATTTTAGTAGATGGCATGGGCTTAGCTGCAGAGTGTGTAAATAGCTAAAGTTTCAATGACCATTAAATGCATTAATAAAATTAAAATAATGAAGAAAGGGGGACAGTTCTAATTAAAGGCACTAGTCAAGATATTCTTGGAGTAGTGTGTGTGTGTGTGTGTGTGTGTATGTGTGCACGTGTGTGTGTCCTGGAAACGAGAATTGAGGGGACTGAAAAGAAAAGAACTGACTTATATGGCTGACTTCACATGATAACAGCTATTACATGAAAGAGTAATTAAATTTTTCTGTGGTCCTTGTGGGTAGAATTAAGGCCATTTGCAAAATATATACAAGGAGAGATTTTTTTTTAACCTAGAAAGAAAGAACTTTTTACACATAAAACTGTCTGAAGATAGAGTAAGTAGTAAGTTCCCTGTCACTGGAAAGGAGATTCTGGTTTTGCAGTGAGGATCTGGAGGGAGAATTCAAATATCAAATGGGTGATAGAGGGTCAAATAAATTTTTAATCCTTCCCAAGTCTACGATTTCATGGTATTATAACAGTTAGACTTTTGAACTATGCAGAAAATTGGAAAGGAGTTGAAAAACCGAGAGAATGATTGTTAGAAATCATTATAAGTTGCAGTGGCTGCTTCTGGAACACAAATAATGGAAAAGGTATAAAAGCTAAATGTTTTCATTTTTTTATAATCCAAAATGCATTATGAATATTTCTTGTGCCACTGCATTTAGTAAATAATGTAAAAATCTTGACATGTATATTTTGCATAAAATGAATAACCTGAGATGCAGAAACACCATGTCGATTTATGCAATCCAGTGGGCATTTTTGAGACAGTAAAGCCTCACTGAGAGGCCCCCAGGTACTGTCTGCCTCTGGACAATGTAATGAGGACATGGAAAATCTATGGCTTTCTGTTGCCTTCACATTTCCATCAACTGGGATGATTTCAGGAACATGTAACAGAAAATCCAACTAAACAAGGTTATGGTATAATACTACATTGTGTGGTAAGAAGCCCAGAATAAGGCAGTTATAGGAGTGATGAATTCAATGGCTCGGTGTTGTCAGGTATTCAGGTTGAGTTCTCTGTGGTTCTTGTGGACTTTCCCTTCATAGCAGCAACCTGGCTGAACAACATAAACCACCATGTAAGCCGCTCGTCACACATGATAATGTCTAAGGGGAAAAAAGAGTGTTTAACAAAACATCACTGATAAAGGAGATGAGATGACCCTGAGTAACTTAGGTTAATTTACATTTTACCTTCTGTGTGGGGCCAGAAGTAGGCAAATGGGTTTTCAATGTCTGAACGAAAGCAGGATTTTTTAGCAGGGAAGAGATGCAATGGAACAGGTATGGATTTTATCTAGGTAACTAACAGTGTCTGCCACAGCTTCTTGTGCCAGGGTCCAATGCCTGTTTTGAAACAAAAATACTATAGTAATGTGTCACGTAACAAAGAACCTCAACCAAGCTAAAAGCAACAGAAATTCATGTCTTGCAGTTCAGGAAGGAAGGTATTGGCTAGGCGATGCTTCCTCTAAAATCTGTAGGAAACTCCTTCATTCCCTCTTCCTAGGCTCTGATGTTTGCCAGCAATCCTTGGCATTCCTCAGCTTGTAGATACATTGTTCCAATCTCTGCCTCCGTCGTCACATGGCTGTCTTCCTCCTGTGTGTCTGTGTCTTCTCTTCTTATAAGGACGCCAGTCATATTGAATTAGGACCTGCCCAAATGACCTCATTATAACTTGATGACACTACTAAGACCCTATTTCCAAACAGGGTCATATTCACTGCAGTGCCAGAGGTTAAAATTTACATGTATTTTTTGGGGAGAGGGCACAATTTAACCCATAATACTTACACAGTGACACTCTTCAAGGGATCCCAACCTTGCCTGTATGGAGTCTTCCTCTATAAACAAGGTCCAAGGTTTCTTCTTCTACACAGTATGGGTATGGAGACACCAGGGTATATTGATAAGAGCACCAAACAGTATGGTATGCTGGAAAGAGCATCAAAACAAGGTTTGAAGACTTGAACACTATTTGGATCGTCTTAGGAAAGGCAATTATTTTCTCTTAACCTGTTAGTTTCCTCGCTGTTACTCATCTAAGAACTTCCCAGGCAAAAGGTACTCTGACCTCAAGGCATTGCTTGCCTCATGCCAGAGCTGTGTGGCTCTTTATGGAGATGAACATATCTTGCCATTGCCTGATACCATTAAACATTCATTTATTTTACTCATTTCTAGTGCAATATTTCCAAAGCACTCTTATTACAAAGTCTTCCCACATGATGTGCTTATAGATGTGAATTTCCTTTCTCCAAAATTTTTATATTTCTCAATATAATTTGAACCATTGTCCTTTAAATGTTGTGAAAAAAATAAAGATTTCAGGTTTTTTTTCTTTCTAAATTCTTGGTTGTAAAATGTCATGTTATTTTCCTTTAGTACGTCAGGTTTACAAGGCAATGCGACCTTCCTGTTTTTATTCATATACAATGTCTTTATATTAGAAATTTGTAATCTCAAATGCTTAGGGTGTAATAAGGAATACATAACAATTGAGATTTTTTTAAAAAAATTACAAAATAATAGGAAAGTTTATGGGTGAATGAACTTATTACCAGTGGCATTTTTAATGAAAAACACTCTGACCTGCATTTCCAGGAGCAGAATGGTTCAGAAGAAAAGTGAATTTCTCAAATTCCACTGGCTTCTTTAACAAAGGTTCATGAGTTTGGGTGTGTGAATAAGCAAGCCCAATGCAGGTCTAGCTGAGTTGGCATGAGGTTAGGGAAAGGGGCTGTATTGACAGACAAATGAGATCACTCATTCTAATCCATTCCAGGATAGCCAGAAGGTTTCAAAGAGGCTCAATAATGAGAGTTGCCTCTTATTCTGGGTCAGGAGACACACTCGTGCCTTCGTGACTATTTTAATTAATGTTGTTGTCTGCCTGGTATGCTTTCTTCTTTTTATTCTAATGGAATATGCCTTCCTATCCACATGGTGGGTCTGTCACATAGGCTGGAACTGTCATATCATCCCATGACCCTGGTGTTCTGGATTTTTTGTTGCAATATCATCCCCTTTAGCAGGAAATAGGCTGATAAAGCTGAGCAGTGTCTGAGGAGGCATAGCACACATGCAACTACTTCAGATATGGCTAAGGAGGATAAGAGGTAAAGAACAAGCTCTCAGAGGGCTGGGCTAAGAGCCACAGAAAACAGTGGATGAGGACATCAACCCAGGGAGAAGACAGTGTTTATTCAAGGTATCTTCATTTCTGCTGTAACAGATATATTCCTAAAATGTACTGCATTAGACAAATCATGCAGTAAGAAAGACAGGGTATATGGGAGAAATGGGGCTAGGGGCCCAACACTCAAAAACTGTCAGTGACATATATTTAAAAAGTAGGAGCCTGTTCAGAGCTTGCAGTAAGCCAAGATCGCACCACTGCACTCCAGCCCGGGCGAAGGAGTGAGACTCCATCTAAACAAAACAAAAAAAGAAAAAAAAAAAAGTAGTGGGCTGATAAAAATGGCAGCACAGTTTTACCCATATTAAATGGTTAATTTAAAAAACAAAATCTATAGTAAATTTGGCACTTTACCTGGAGAAAAACTGAATTTCCTTGTATAACTGGGCATTGGAAGGGCTGCAACTTGTGCATTATTGTGAAGTGGCAGAAGAAAGGTTATTTGGAGTTGGATGGAAAGTTGTAACACCAGAGAAGGTAGGTTCAGCTTATCACACATGCATTGAATCAAGCTAGCTGGTAGATGTTTGAAGTGTATCTATGTGTGTGTATTTCTACACGTTTTTATTCAGGTGAATGCAGTTTTCTGTGTTCACCTAGTGGACAGTATTGTGCATAAGCAAATTAGTGTTATGATCAACTTCTTTCTTAACATATCAATCACATTGAAACAGAGTTGTATTTTAGAAACAAGCATTATAGTAGAACAGACTATATTTCTAGAATACAGCCTATTTTTTCTCCATTTACCTAAAGATATCTCATGGAAGCATATTAAAATAAAACCCATCCCACTTAATAATCTAACAAAAAATTGATTCTTCCCCCCAAAATATGTGCAGAAGACATAAAACTAATAAACTGGAGGCATATTCTGAGATCCAATTTTTTCAGATTTGTTTTTGTTTTACTTTATTATTTTAAAAAAATTCCAATAGATTTAAGCGTACGAGTGTTTTTTGGTCACGGGGTAAATTGTATAGTGGGAATTCTGGGCTTTTGGTGTACTCATCACCCAAATAGTGTACATTGTACCCGACAGGTAATTTGTCACCCCTCACCCCCCTGTCATCGTCCCCACTAGGGTTGAGATCCAACTTCATATGGTTCTATGACATGCGGCTTGCTTTAGTAAAACCAGGGTTAGGAGCACTTGCTGTATATCAGGCAGATCCAGCCAATCAATATTTATAATGCTGTTGCCATTGTGTATGTACGTTTAAAATGTGTCTTTTCATTAAATTCCTTTTTTCTCTGAGGACAAATAAGTTAATCACACAACAAAAGGAGTAGAAAAAAATCAATTGTTATTGATTTGTCATAGTCCAAATATTGCTGCTTGGCATAGTCCAGGTCAATTCAGCATTTCCATCACAATTCTGATTTCTAATTTAATTAGAAAAAAAATACTCTTTAGGATGAACATTGCAAATATTAAATTTCAATTTTTTTTGATCGTGACTTTATTTTTTCATTTAGTACCCTTTGTGTGTGTGTGGTGTATATATATATACACCACACACATATATATTTCTTTGTGTAGATATATATACACAGATATATTTCTTTGTGTATATATATACACATTTTATTTTATATATATATTTCTTAAAATGATTTTTAAAAGTATAGATTTTACTTTCTTCCTTCTGCTCTAGAAACTGGCAAGTCTGAATAACATGTTTAGGTGGAAAAAAAGCAATTAGAGGCTAAATGTAAAGCTGCACTGGACTCAAAAGGGATTAGGTCCTAGTTCTTCACTCACTAACTCTGTGATTTGAGGTGGTTATCTAATATTTCTAGACTCTAGTCAACCTCATGGACCCTGGGCTCTCCACCAACACCTATAAAATGGCCTATCACTCATTCTCATCCTCCTTCCTCTCACACAATACTTTTTAATCTTTAAAAAGCTACATGTAGTCTGTGCAGAGAGAGGCAAAATCATTACTAGAACTAGAAAGTTTACAGTAAATTTAAAAAAGAGTTAAGATAGGAAAAAAGAGATTAAATTTCTGGCTGACTTATATTTTCTCCTAAATCTAAATAAGGAAAAGTACCAAAAGACTCTTGACCTTTCAAGGGAGAGTGTGTCCTGTGACCACTTTCCTTATTCCTGTCCTCACACCCTGCCTTACGTTCATGTTCTTTCTCCACCAATTCCTCCTTCTTAAAATTCTTTGCTCTTATCTTCAGCTTCTTTTCACTGCAAAGTTCCACTTTTCCCCACAACAGTGGTTCTAAGTCACTCACTCCATCATAATGCACTATGAGTCTAGCAGAATCAGGAACAACACAAAACTTTAGCCCCACGGTCTCTACACTTTGCAGAAAACTAAGGTGAAGTGAGGATAGTCAGCAGATGGTTGTGGGAAGGGGATTTGTTCTGTCCCATGAGCAAATAGTGGCACGGGTTCTCAAATCTAAATGTCTTTTAGTGCTACTCTCAATGTGTGCTCTCCTAAGGAGGGATATCATTTATTTTTTTCCCTGGGGGAAGCATGGAAAAACCCATATGATAAGGAAATTTAGCAATATCTTTCCCACTGTTGTGCAGAAAAAAAAATGGTTTTCTTTTTTTGGATTTTTCTTTTTTTTCCCCTTTTTGGCAGGGGGAAAGTGACAATGGGAGGAGGAAGGGTGCTGCAGGAACTGGAGACTTCAACAGCTGCTGTCTTTGTGGCTCTGGGAAGGGTTTCAGTTTTAATTACATTGTTAGAATTCAGAGTCTTTTTCTCATAGAAAGCAAGTAGTTTGAATATGGTAGTTCTAGCTACTTAAATGTAAGTTTGGTATAGTTATTAATTAAGACTACAACTATACAGCATTTTGTGGTCTGTAAGTCCTGTTTTATAATACATTCAAGATTTTTGAGTGGTTAGAGAGAACTTTATGTTGTTCAGATTATACTTTTTCATCAATTTAGTGGCTATTACTGCATTTTAGGATAGAACATATTTAAATGTCAAATAAAGCTGTATATGGTTAAAAGTCTATGCAATATAAATGTCTTAAGTAAAAATTAACAACTGTGTAATTTTTTTCTGTAATTATAGCCTTTGATTATTGGCTTCCAATTGGAAAATGTAAATTCTAATGACAAGAAGCATTATCAAAGGTACAGAGGAATATTTTATAATAATAAACTGTTCCACTCATCAAGTATCTATAACATATCCAATTTGTATGAACCTAATAACTTGGCCTCAAACTATAAGTCAAAATGTGACTGAACTAAGGGAAAAAAATGTGCACCCAAATTCATGTTGGAGATTTTGACACATTTGTCCCAGTTCCTGATGCAGTAAGCAAGGAAAAAAATGGAAAAGGGTTTTTACAAATAGGAAAAATTAGCCAGGATTATGGTTAAATTTGGTGGTACAAAGGGGACTTTTGGTATTCTAGTAATGTTGTATGTGTAGACATCAGTGGTGATTACCAGAGTCATCACCAATTTGTGATAATTCATTGAGTTGTACCACTAAATTTGATGCTTCTTAATAGATGTTTTCATTTGATTAAAAATTAATCTTCCAAAAAAGAGAAGCTTCACCTTCCAAATCTCCCTTCTCCTACCTACATTTTCTTATATAGATACATGTATTTTGGGTTTTTTTTTTGTAGACTGTATAGGAAGAAACTAACATTCATTGACTGCATGCTGTACACCTGGAGGCATGAATTGGGCCTTGTTTTCCTCTAGTCAAAAGTATTTGGACTCCAAATACAAATTTTGAAAGAGAAAGGAATCCGTACCTGCAATCATCTCCTCACATCTCAGCTGTGAAAAATAATTTGGAGAAAAAGGGAAAGTAAGTGAGTAAATAGCATATTTGTTCATAAAAACAAATAGAAAGTTGAGTAGCAAAATCACAACTTCAAAAGTTTTAGTAAAAATAAGAAATATAATCTTCATTAGCCCATAAAATAGTCAAATTAAATGTGAATTAAGATTTCTACTATTTGCAATAACAATTATAACAATATGATTATATTATATTAGCTATTATATTAAGAATATAATATTAACAATATAATAATGCAGCCACATATGATTAATACAGTGCATGACATAGTAAATATTCAAATATATTAGCTATTATATTGTTAATATATTTGAACATTTACTATGCATCATGCACCTTGTTAATCATATGTGGGTGCATAATAATATTACCACAGACTTAGAAGCTTAAAAAAGCAAACATGTATTATCTCAGTTTCTGGGGTTCAGAGTCTAGGCATAGCTTAACTGGATTTTTTGCTTCACGGTCTCCCAAAGCCACAATCAAGGTGTCAGCTGGGGCTGTGGTCTCATCTGAGGATCAACTGGGGAAGAATTTGCTTCCAAGCTCATGTGGTAGTTGGCATTGTTCAGTTCCTCATAGGCTGCCAAAATGAGGGCCTTAGTTTTTTGCTGGCTGCTGGCTAGACGCCATCCTCAGTTGCCATGTGGGCTTCCCCAACATAGCTGCTTGCTTCCTCAAGGGCAGCAAAAGGGAGAGTCTCCTCCCAAGGTGTGATCTCATGTAAAGTAATCATTTATATGTAATCACATGTACTTCATTGCCTCGACTAGTCAGAGGCAAGACATAGGCCCTACCTACACTAAAAGGAAATACATGATACAAAGCCATGAATACCTTGTTAGGGATTATGAGGGCTACATTAGAGTCTGTCCTTCACATGCACAATACAAATTTACACCGTTTATCTCATATATTCCTCACAATAGTTCTAGGAGGTAAGTACCAAAAATGCTTCTATTTTACAGATGAGAAGCTCTGGTCATAGAAAGGTTAAATGACTTGTTCATTAATATATACTGGATTGTGTTTCAAGGTGGGACATCTAGAAATTGAGGTTATTTGCCTTTATTGGGTTATGGCTTATTATTTTACAATTAATAAAAATGTTATAATGAAGTAGATTGCAAAAAAGTAAAAATCTTTTCCAGTATTATGGAAGAATATACTTCAGTGGATTATTAAAACACTTATTCCATATTATTCTTATCTATTTGAATAGGTAGTAAATCCCCTATGGAGATTCAACAAATATTGAACCTGAAATTACATTTTGTTAGGCTATTCCACTATGTTGATGAAAAGTACAGATTTCTAGTATTTTATTCATATGTTCATATTGGATGCAAGATTGCATATTTTAGTGATAGTGTTCCACATATTAAAGATATATTTAAGCCCAGAGATTGGACTTAATTAAAATTCTCATTAGTCTGTTTCAGCATGATTTAGAAATATTTTTTATCACATATCTAAAAGGAAAATAAGAGGAAGAGAAGGAGAGAAATGACGTGACCCTGAACATTCTGTTAGTAATTAGCTGCAGGTGAGCTTTAAAGTGATATGGTGCCACATGCTGGTCACAGGGTTCACGAGTGACTTTTTAATCATGTTCAGCACAAGAAGCGGCAGCATGATGAGGCTGCTGAGGCCACTCAGATGAGCACTTTCAGAGATCTCAGTGACTTGTGGATCAGGCAGCTGCACCATGCCCCACTGTTTTGAAGCACTGTGGAACCCGACTCCCTCCTGTCTGAGGTAAACAGAAGCAAGGCTCTTCTCTATGACAGAGATCAATCACCAGAGCAGATATTTTCCATACATTTCCCAAAGCATAGCCTGTAGAGCACAACTTTCACAACATTTTAATAGATGTTCCATAAAATAAAGGGTTTTATGGTCAAATGTGTTTGGGGAATATGAGAATGACTGTAATTCATAAGTTTTTACATGGGGTTTCCCTGGAGATTTATACCATCCTGTACTGTAATAAAAGGGATGTACTATAAAAAAAATTCCTACAGTTCTTCAATCATTGAATGTGGCCAGAGGTTTCCTCTAAACACAGTTGGGAGAAATGATCCTGGAATTAGAACCCTTTTATTGTAATAAGTAATAAATATTTTATATAATGTTTTAACATTCATTTGAACATTTACTAGAAGTGTTTCTAGAGAAGAGATTTCAGAAAGTCACAGTGTTGACTCAGCACTGACAATTGCACAGCATTCCATTAGCGACAATGAACATGATAGGAATAATGATGATTATTATTAACATTAATCAAGAGTTTATTATGGATACTGTCATAGGAATTTACAAAGGTTATCCCATGTGATCGTTTTATAGATAGGAAACTGAGGTTAAGAAACTTGTCAATATCACATAACCGGTAAACCACAGAACCATGATTCAAATCCACACTGCTTGAGTCCAGGCAGAGAAGCTCCAAAGCTACCAGCCATAAGTGGCTAATGGAACATCTTAAACCCTTTATTTTATGGAATATCTATTAAAAGATGTGCCTGGTTTAAAGTGAGATATACTGTGGGATTTTGAAGACCTAGTATTAAAAAAACCCCTAAATATCCCATAAATAATTTTTATATCAGTTACATGCTTTTGAAGCACTTTTTGTGCTATTAGTAACTTTGTTATCCATTATGAGTTCTATGAATCATAAAATAAATGGCATAAAGTGAAGCCTTAGAGGAGTAGATAACACGTTTCAAAACACTCAACCTTACCACAGCACAGCACACTTTTGTGGATAGTTTTTAGTAGTTCGCCCAAATAACCAATAGCAGAGAGTGGTGACCACTGTCTCTAATGCTAGCTTTCATTGCATGAGATTATCCAGTGGCACTCAGAGCATGAGGAAAATATATATTGACAGGGCACAGTAGAAGACTTTCTGTTTAAATATTTATAGTAAAATATTTCATAAATAGGTAGCACTACAAAACGTCAGCTCTATGCCAGGCAGTGAATAATACATTATGTATCATGGAAACTAAATCTTGGATTGGTTAAATAATTTGCTTAAGTATAAACAGCAAGTAAAAAACAGAGCAAGGATTTAAACCTAGGCAATTACACCCAGTAAAATCTTCATCCAGTGCTTCTGATCCCTGGTACTCATTAGAATCGCCTGGATAACTTTGAAAATATATAAATATTTTGGCCGTATATGAGACTAATTAAATCACAATCCCAGGAATTGGGTCTCAGGCTTATTTCTTTCTTTCTTTATTTGTTGTTTTTCACCATTGTCTATATCTCCATGATCAAAATTACCCCAATCACAAAATGATTTATCTGAGGTCCACTGGATTCTAAACATCTCAGTTACCCCTCATCACCAGCCCCAGTGAAAGCCTTCTTTCTGTCAGGATAAGATGTGTAAACCATGATCCCAGCTGGCCTTCTTGAATCTACTCCCTACCTTTTAAACTCCACCCACATTATTTTAAATTTATTTTATCTTTTCATTTTTTTTTCTTTGCTTTTTAAACTTCATTAGGTTTTTGGAGAACAGGTGGTGTTTGGTTACATGAGTAAGTTCTTTAGTGGTGATTTCTGAGATTTTGGTGCATCCTCCCCTGAGCAGTGTACACTGTACCCAAGGTGTAGTCTTTTATCCCCTCCCATCCTTTCTCCCAAGTTTCCAAAGTCCATTGTATCATTCTTATGCCTCTGAGTCCTCACATCTTAGCTCCCACTAATGAGTGAGAACATATGATATTTGGTTTTCTATTCCTGAGTTACTTCACTTAGAATAATGGTCTTCAACTCCATCCAAGTTGCTGCGAATACCATTTTTTTCCTTTTTATGGCTGAGTAGCACTCCATGGTATGTGTGTGTATATATATGTATATATATGTGTGTGTGTGTATATATGTGTGTATATATATGTATATATGTGTGTGTGTGTATATGTGTGTGTGTGTTTATGTGTGTGTGTATATATATGTATATATCACATTTTCTTTATCCACTTGTTGATTGATGGGCGTTTGGACTGATTCCATATTTTTGCAATTGTGAATTGTGCTGCTATAAACATGCATGTGCAAATGTCTTTTTTGTATGATGACTTTTTTTCCTCCGGGTAGATACCTAGTAGTGGGATTGCTGGATCAAATGGTAGATCTACTTTTAGTTCTTTAAGGAAGCACCACACTATTTTCCGTAGTGGTTGTACTAGTTTACATTCCCACTAGCAGTATAAAAGTGTTCCCTTTTTACCACATCCATGACAACATCTATTATTTTTTGATTTTTTGATTATGGTCATCATTGCAGGAGTACGGTGGTATTACACTGTGGTTTTGATTTGCATTTCCTGCAGGCATTTTTAAAGCACTCCAGAGGATACTAATGTGCAATGAAGATGGAAAAGCATGGCTTTATGCCATATATTGTCTCACTTATACCACAAAATTTTGGTACACCTCCAAATTCTCTTAGCTATGCTCCCTTTTCTCTGTTTTTTTTTTTAATTTCATGGTTAAGAAGGCATAAAGATTACGTATTGAGGAACCATATTCATTCAGATAAAGCCACAGACACGAATTCTCATGGAAGCCTATCAAACATAAACAGGTAACTAAATGTGTTTTTCTCTCTTTTAAGCAGTATCTTTTAGTTTTGATTAATTTGGTTTTACTTCCTTTGTGTTGCTTAAAAGAAAGATTTTATTTCTCCTGCAGTCTAAATTCATGCATGAAAATGTTTCTACCTCCAGTGCTTATGTACTTTAATACATGTTTTAATGCTTTAATAAACAGCATTTAAACTGTTTAGGTCATTTTGGGATTAAGTTCAACTTAATCATTTGTTCAAATGTTAGTATGAGCTGCAGTTTTTTGACATCTGTAGGTGATTCATTTACTCCATTTCTGAGCACTAGATAACTGGATTTTTCTGGCTTTCTGATCAGAGTTTTTGCATTGATCTTTTTCAGAAAGACTCTGGGATTATAACATGGAAATAGTGAATTTCTGACTGCAATTGGTGTTGAAAAAGCTAAGAACCAAGTTTCCCTTAAATAATTAGCTCCATACTCAAAAGAATTAAAGTGTATATACCAGGTACTGTTATAGGTATCTAAATGTTGTCTCATTTATTTCTCATAAATATTCTATTCACATTTGCCAAATGCTATGATTTCCATTGCAACAAAATGGGTGAGAAGAAGGTCTCCTAGGCATTAAGTGATAGAGCTCAGATATTTGGACAAGGAAATTTGGCATATCATTGGCTAAGCTTTATATATATATATATATATATATTTTTTTTTTTAAATCTCTACTTTAAAATCTGTTTTAAGTATTTGGATCAGGATATATTTCACTCAGTAAACAGCCTAAGAAGAGAACTTTTACTATATAAGGCATAAAGGAAGACTGTAGATTTAAAAATTACATTTTGGGAACTAAAATTATACATCCCCATTCTGGGAAGATAGTTCTTTTCCATCCCTAATAACTCTGAGACACAGCCATGATAGAAAAGAATTTTGGGAACAAGTGTAAAAAGTCTGAAAGTAGGTTTGAGGAAGTGCAAATTTGGAGAGTTCAGGAAAGAAAGGATGTGAATGTAAATTTTCTGATATTCAGGCATTGCCATGAATCAAATAATTACTTCTGATAACATGAAAATTATTACACAATACTAAATTTGACCATACTCATTTTTATTCATTATGACTCTTTTACTACAAGGATGTAAAATCGCATTTAATAAAACTGAGTTATTCTGAAACTATTCTCTAATGGAGAGAAAATTTTAAAATCTTTAAAAATGGATTTGGATCTTAATCTTCTATATGAAAGGGAAAAGATAATTCATTTGTGAAGCCTTAGGACCCACCTTGCTCTTCTATCATAATTTTCCATAGTTAGTTTGAGAGAGTCTTGCACAAAATATGACTGAAATGTGAAGCAGCAATTTTAGTGTATCATTAAGGCAAATTTCGCCAACCGAGTACCATTTGCAAAAAAACAAGATTCGGTTTTGCCATTATGATTTCAGGGAGTATGAAGAAAGAAAAAGAAATGATGCAAGTTCAGTATAATCTGCTGAAGTATTTGTAAATACACAGGGGAGATACAGTCAGTGAAAACTGCATGTATTTAAAGTTTTTAAAAGTGGAATAGAAAATAAGGTCGACTTACCTGAACATCAGTTAAACCCCAATGAAGAAAGAAAGTTCTATCTGTACTATCTGTATTAAAACCAACCTCACTTCTGCTGTCTGGTCATGCTTTTCAATATCCAAATCTTAGCCTAGTCTTTAGTCCTGTTTTTCTTGGTGTTGCTAAGAAAATGGAAAGATCATTTTATTTTATGTGTAATTAGCAGATTTTAATGTTGGTAAAAGTAGTTAGTTGCAATATGCATATAATAGCGATTTGTCAGTTTTTATGTATAATTTTTGTTAAAAGCCTATTCTCAAGTGTAGTGTCAAACAAAAATGACAAGATACTAATCTACTAGCTCATCTTTGCTCACATGTCTGAGAAAGTGATGTGTACTAATTTTCTGTTTGTTCCAAGTGATAGTGGTTAAACTGATCAGTTCAAGCAAAATATAACAATAAAGAAAAAAGAAAAGAAATAAATAAAGAAAGAAGGAAAGAAAGAAAAGAAAAAAGAGAGGGAGGGAGAGAGAGAAAATTTAATGGGTCACACACACCTGGGAAGGGCCAAAGATCATGCCATTGAAATGGGCCCAATCATCTCATAGAGCTGATATTTATGGGATTTTTTGAATAAACATACAAGTTAACCTTCCTAAGTTTAAAACTTGAAATGTACATCTGTCTCATCTGAGTTCCTACCTCAGGAAAACAAACTTCAGCCAAGGAAATAAAACTTGTCCGATCACCACATCCAGACAATGAGATGTCAGACATCTTATCCATCATGTTTGCTTCCTTACCCCTCTCTAATTCCTGTTTTCCCTGCTATAAAAACCCCCCAATTTTAGTTGGTTGGTGAGATGGGATTTGAGACTGTATATCCCTTCTCTTGGCTGTAGCACCCTATTAAAGCCTTGTCTCAGCGACTGGAAGTCTTTGCAGTGAGCAGCAGGACCTAGTGAAGCTCTGGCATTTCACGAACACCAGCAGCCCTGCCTCTTTCCCTCCATCTCTCAGTCTTGCGTTGAACTCTGTTGGCTTTCTTCTCGGGCGGGGTCTTTCCATGTGGTAGATGGCCACTGGCAGATCAAGGAATATAATGCTCCCATAATGATCATACAGCCTTGTTTGCTCAGGATAGTATGGGTTTGTGCCCAATGTGTTAAACTATTAAAAGGTTCCCTTTCTTCTGTTTACATGATAAATTAGGTGGTTACCCTACCTGATAGCCGGTGCAGCCACCATATTAGGATACATAAACACAACTTCAGCTTTGTGTCCCCACAGATCTTTAACATTTACTCAGTGAGGGTAGTCTCTTCTGCCCTTGTGTAGTAGTCTGTTCATGCTGCTTTGGCAAAACTGCACACACTAGATAATTTATAAAGAATGGGAGTTTATTTCTCACAGTGGTGACGGCTACAAAGTCCAAGATCAGGGCACCGGCAGACTTGGTATCTGGCGGGGACCCAGTGTCCCTTCCAAAATGGTGCCTTGCTGCTGCATCTTCCAGAGGGGTGAGCTGTACCTTCACATGGCAGAAGGGACAAAGCGGGAGGAGGATGAACACTGTGTTCCCATGGCGGAAGAGCAGAAAAGGGCCTAAGCTAGTTCCTTCCAGCCCTTTTTATCACATAATCACTTCCTAGAAGGCCCCACTTCTTAATACCACCAGAAGAGAAATTAAGTGTTAACACATGCATTTTGGAGAGGACACATTCAAACCATAAGATTCTGACACTGGCCCCCCAAATTCATGTCCTTCTCACATACAAAATGCATTCATTCCATCCCAGTAGTCTCCAAAATGTTAATTCATTCCATCTTCCACACAAAAGTGTAAAGTCCGTGTTCTCACCTAACTGTCATCAAGTCAGAGATAGGTTAGACTCAAAGGTGTGTTTCTTTCTTAGGCAAATTGCTCTTTAGCTGTTAACCTGTGAAATCAAACAAGTTATATGCTCCCAAAATACAAATAGCTAGGCAGAAACAGGACCCACACTTCCAATCTAAAAGGGAGAAATAAGCCAGAAGAAAGGGCTAATGGGTACCGAGTAAGTCCCCAACTCAACAAGGCAAACAACATTAACTCTTAAAGCTTGACAATAATCTTTGACTCCATGTCGAACCTCTGGACACACTGGGGTCCCCACCAGTTCAACTTAAATGTTTCAGCTGTCACTCATTTAAGCCCCCTGCCTACAGTTTTCCCAGGCTGGTGCTGCATGCTGGTGGCTCAATAGTTCTGGGAGTGCAGGCATAGCCCTGCTCCCATGGCTCCACTGGATATTGCCCCAGTGGGGTGTCTTTGTGGTAGCCCCAACCCTGTGTTAGTTTTCTGCTTGTGCTTTCTGAGGGATCCTTCAAAATCTAGGTGAAGGCAGTCATACCTCCCCAGCTTGTGCACCCTACACACCCATAGAGTTAGCACCACATGTATGCCATCAAAGTTTACAGCCTGTATCTTCCAGAGCAGCAGCCTTAGCCACACCTAGGTCTGCTTGAGCCACCACACCAAAAACCCCTGCCTTTTATCACCACCACATTGGAGGTTAAGTTTCACCATAAATTTTGGAGAGAACCTACCTTCAAACCATAGCACCTGGTTGGAAACTTACCTCATATGGCATTTCTGCTTACTCTGAAGTTATAAGCAGGTCTATGGTTCTGTGTAGTCACAAAACAGTCTAATTTTAGTTATAAGAATATTTCTAGTCTAAGAATTTAGTTGCTTGCTTTGAGGTTTCTTCAAATATTCTTCCTCCCCTCCCACCAAGCTAAGGCCAGAGGTTGGCAGCTACTTGCCTTTGAAATACTGTGAGATCATCTGCTCTTGTTCCTCATTCACACCTTTCCTTGTATCTTAACTACTGTTTAAAAACTACCAAGATGAATGTCAGGGGAAGATGAAGCTGTGTTAGGTTAACAGCTCTCCTGGAAGAGGCAGTACCCAAAAAGTGTGGGTTTCAAGGCAGCAAAATGTGGCAGTAAATATTTATCTTGTTATCAATTTAACTCCATCTTTGCTCAAGATAATTTTAATTCTTTTAATTTTATTGAGACTCATTTTACTGCTTAGCATGTGCACTAGCTTGACGTATGTTTCATATACTTCTGAAAATATGTACACGAAGTTATAAAGTAAATTTTTATATAAATGTCAATGAGGAGGAATTTGTTGATACTGCTGTTTAAGTCTTCTATAACATTTTGGTTTTCTGTCTACTTGTTCTACAAGTACTGAGAGAAGAGGTTGAAATAGGCAACTATATTTGTGTATTTGTTTCTTTATCATTTTACTATTTCAGTTGTTCATATATTTTGAAACTTATTTGAAGCATATTAAGTGTGCGTGCATTTAAAATTGTCAAATCTGAATAAATAGAATGCTTTATATTTATTAATGAAGTCCCCCTTTGTCTATGCTAAAATTACTTGTTCTGAAGTCTGCTTTGTCTGATATTAGTTTTCATTAAATTTGGAAACCCTGCAGATATTTCTTCAAGTACTTTTGCTGTTTCTCCCCTTCCTCCTTTTGGAACTCCCATTGCCCAAATGTTAGACAACTTGATATTTCTTCACAGGTCACCGAGTTATTGTGTATAATTAGTGCTTTTTTCTCTATATTCTTCATTTTTGCTAGTTTCTATTGCTTTATCTTTAAACTCACTATACTTCTTATTTCCTGCAAAGACCAATTTGCTGGTAATTTCATTTAGTGATATTTTTATTTTTAGTACTGTATTTTTCATATCTAGAAGTTATCTTTTTCATATGTGCCATTTTTTCTCTTAATTATGAACATTAATGTTTCCAATGACAACCCTGAGAATATTCAACATAATTGCAATAGCTTTCTTAATGTTCTTGTGTGCTAATTCTATCATATCTTTATTTCTGTTTATGTCTGTTATCTGACATTTCCTGGTTATGGGCCATATTTTCCTGCTTCATTGTATGTCTACTTATTTTTGACCGGATGCCAGATATTGTGGATTTTTCTTGTGTGTGCCAGATTTTGTTGTATTCCTTTTAAGTGGTGTTGAAATTTTTTGGCAAGCTGTCAAGTTACTTGAGGGACAGTTTGATTCATTTGAGGCTTGCTTTTAAAGCCTTTTAGAAGGCTTGTTTAGAGTAGTCACTACCCTTGGGTTTATTTAGCCCCCACTTCTATGATATGAGCAATTTAGGATCTTCACTGACTGCCCTGTGTATACAGTGAGTCTTTTCAACTCTGGTTAGTGGCAACTCATATATTTTCTGCCCCGGTATGAACTCTTGGGAGTTTTCATCTCTGGCAACTGCTGTTTCCAAGGAATTTGTCTTATGTTGGCTCATGCGAGCTCACTTTCTGCATATATAGTTTGGGTTTTAGTCAAGACCCAACAGGACCCCATGCAGATTTTGTAGCCTTAACTGCAAAGTTTCCTCTTTTTTGATATTCTATCCCACAAATTCTAGATTGCTTGATCTCCCTAAGATCTGGTCTCCATCTCCTCAAGTCAATAAGACCAGTGGAAGAATCTCACTCTCTCTTCCATCATCTTGAAATTTTCTCTTGGAAGAAAGCTGATGAGATCATAGTATTCATTTCAGTGGTTTGCTTTGTCTGAGAGACAAGTCCTATACTTTCTATTGTCTAGTATGTAAACATAGTTTTTTCTATATTTTATTTTGTTTTTTTTTTTTCATTGCTTACAACAGAGGGGTGATTCCAGACACTGTTACTTTCTTTTCCTATTTTTTTCTTTTTCTTTATTTTTTCTTAAGATGGGGTCTTGCCATGTTGTCCAGGCTGTTCTCAAACTCCTAGGCTCAGGCAATCCTCCCACCTCAGCCTCCCAAAGAGCTAGAATTACAGGCATGAGCTGCTGCACCTGGCCTGAAACTGTTACTTTCACATGGAAGCAGAAATGCTGCCATCAGTAATTTTAAAAATAACATTCCTGCTATGAATTTTGTATTTTTTATAAACTTTAGATGTGCAATTAGGAAAAACTTTTTTCCTTTAACACAAAGAGTGCTAACATCCACTTGTCATGAAAATTTGCTTGAATGCAGTTCATTACACAGATGATTTTCTACATCTTCCCTCAACTTGAAACAATATGATTGCTCAGTGGAATAGATTTTTTTACATATTCTTTCATTATTATACTTCTTATACCAGTTGACAAGATAATTTTTACCAACTTGCATGGCTTACACATTTTGTGATTCTGTTATTTTGTGATAAACAATACAGTTTTATCCTTCTGACTATTTTTTTCTAATATTCCAGGGAAAAATTGAGGTTTCCTAAGTCTTCCCTTAAATCTTGGAACTCTAATATATATATTTGATGACTATTTTTTCTTTGCAAAGTCTTCCAATTAGGCTTCATGTTTTTTACAGTTTTTGTATTAGAGTAGGCATGTTAGTAACTGTCTATTTGTATGAGAAATAAGAGCATCCAATTTTAAATATTTTCTTGATTTTAACATTTTTATTTATATTTGACATTTTAAAACATATTTATTTATTATATATAAATAGATTATATGTGATAGTAATGTCTATACATTCGAACTGATGAAATTACGTTTTATTGGTGATTCAAGTAAAATAAATAGTCTGAAAGTCAGTGATGAGACTTTATCAAAATGGTGAGCAACTGTTAGTAAAGTTGAAGACATAAACAAATTATATTTTTCCTTTATTTGTATTACTAGAAAAGTCAGAATGAATAAAACTGTGCAAACATACTTTGTACTTTTTACATGACGTGGAGGTCATTTCCAGGATCAGTTATAGGGTAATTGTAAGCTCTTCACATGCACAATTACCCGGTAGTGCATTCAAAAGTTACACAGCACGTGGATAACTTCTTATAGTGAGGAACTGCCCTGATACTTCAGGATATCTAGACTCTTTTGATCTCATTCACTAAATGATTGTGGTACCCTCCAATCCACCCATCACTGTGGCTTCCAAGAAACCCTCACACATTTCTGAAGCACAGAATTTAGGATGTTATCACCAGTGGTGTGAAATATTCAAAGAGTTAGGGAGAAATAAACGTTGGAATACATATAGAATATGCCAACCATTCACCTATCTCTTTAAGGATCTTCTGTAAAAGAGCATTAAAAAAAAACCTTACTATGGTCTGGATGTTTGTGTCCCCTCAAAATTCATATATGAAACCCTACCTTTAAAGGTGATGGTATTAAGAGGAGGAGACTTTGGGAGAAGATTAGATCATAAATGGGATTAGTATCCTTATAAAACAGGCCTAAGGGAGCTTTTGCCCCTTCCACCAAGTGAAGCCACAATGAGATGTTGTCACTTATGCACCAGAAAGTGGGTCCTCACCAGACACTGAATCTGCTGGCACCTTCATCTTGGACTTCCTAGCCCCTAGAATGGTGAGAAAGTTGTCTACAAACTACCCAGTTTATGGCATTTTGTTTTGGCAACCCAAATGGACTAAGATGTTCCACACCAAGACATTGACAAATACATTGGTGGGACTAGCACAGACTTCCATAACACTCATGGTAGTGGGTCTTTGTAGAGGAAGGATGAACATGAACAGGTTACCATTAAAATGGGCTCTCTGAATTCAATGGGGATGATGGAATGTCCCAGTGGAAGGAATCCAAAAAAATACAACTTGACTGTCAGGTGCAAAGTGAGTGTGGTTTCCCCAATAAGCAGTAGAACTAAAGGAATAAGCAGAATGGTTTGTTTCACAGAGAAAATAACTAAAGGCTAATTAATCATGGGCTCCTCAAGACTAAAAGAGTTATCAACCATCTAAGTTATTATCTAAGTTAAATTATATAACTCCTCGATTCCAACCACATTGCTCCATCCTACCCCTCACACCACCACCAAAAGGAAAAGCGTTTTTAAAACTGGGTATAATTTGAGTCAGCTACCATGTTTCTGGAGTCCACTGGTCTTAGCTGTATATATATTTATCCTTTTCAGAATTTAAGACAAATTGCACTAACTACCCCTAAAAGCAATATGCATCTGTCACTTGTGGGTGTCTTTGGATTTCAGAGGTAACACAAAACTGCATTTGGTCATGTTTCCCAAACTAATTTAGTGATAATTCAGAAATTTGAAATGGGGCCCAGAGAAAGAGAAGTTTTGGTGGCTGCATCATGGAATACTGCAAGCTGATGTCACTTGGTTCTTTAGAGTCAACAGAGCGAATGATGTTTAAAGTGTCAGTGCTATGCAGAGCCTCTCTCAGGCCACAATAGGAGAATCACAATGAAGTTCTCTTGGGTTTTAAACCAAACTCCTCTTGGTCGAAAAATATTATTTTAAAATAATAGATTTTGACCAAGAATTATTATTCTTGGTTTTAAATAGGAACTTGGAAGAGAGTGACCATCTGAACATGGGGCACAGAGAGAACATTCAACCCAAGCTCTCTGTCATGAGCTGTTCTAGGTTTTTGTTTGTTTGTTTGTTTTTTGAGATGGAGTCTCGCTGTTTCACCCAGGCTGGAGTGCAGTGGCGCGATCTTGGCTCACTGCAAACTCCGTCTCCTGGGTTCAAGCAATTCTTGTGCCTCAGCCTCCCGAGTAGCTGGGATTACAGGCGCCCATCACTATGCCCGGCTAATTTTTGCATTTTTGGTAGTGATGGGGTTTCACCATGTTGGCCAGGCTGGTTTCAAACTCCTGACCTCAGGTGATCCACCTGCCTTGGCCTCTCAAAGTGCTGGGATTACAGGCATGAGCCACCATGCCCAGCCGAGCTGTTCTAGTTTTATTAATCTGTTAAACCATAAGTTCGGGTATTCCTCGGAGCACTCCATCATCAAGTAAATGTGTTAAAAGCAATTCTGTGGCCTGACCAAGTAATGAATATACAAGTTGTATAACAAGTTGTATAAGCAATCGACTCACACTCTCTCTGTGCGGTGCCTACTTTGCTAAACAAACGCCTCCATTTCAGTGCACATTTATGACCTCATGGGAGAATTCCTTATGACCTCAGGGCTGAGGAGGAAATATAGGAGTTTTATTTCCAAATGACTTTGCATAATAATCTGGTTCCAACCAGAAATGAAATGCTGTCGTTTTCACCAGCTAAGGAAGACTCCAAGAGACAGCCTGGAAGGAAATACACTCCAAGTTGAGCAGAACTTCAACTGGAACAAATGGTTTTCACTGTTTGTTTGTTTGTTTTTCTGGAAGAAGAGATGGCCAGAGGCATGGATCTACATACATTTATGGGCAATTTTTAATGATTTTTTTAAAAGGATTAGAGAAATGAGGATAAGGAGACTTGCAAGAAGAAGGCATCAACAGATGTTTTACAAAGGGCCTAGAGTGTGAGGAAATGAGTGAACCATTGGAACCACTGGAATGCTTGCTCCAATATTGAAAGCATCCAGCAATTATGTGGACAAGACCTCCTGCTCTGCACAGTGCTTGCTTACTGGGTTCATGAACAAAATGACAATAGTGGTAGGGATTACACATGGACTCAACAACATGGACTGCCCTGCAAAACACTATACCCTCAAAGGCCCTAACCAAACCCCAAACCTATATACTAAGCAAATCAACAAGCCATTTACTTCACAGTGAAAATGACAACTGTAAGTTCCATCCTTAGTAAACTCCATCCCCTCTCTTACCTACAAATGTGTCCATGTCACCCTTCTTCCTCCTGTCTCCGCTTTAGACTCAGAATAGGAGCTGTGCACCCAGTTTAGGGATAATACCTCTCCTTTACTCTTGATGATATCTTGTTCCATTTTATTCAAGGCTTAGCTATTATTCCTTTTACTCTTTCTATAGGTCTTTTTCAGGTACAGTGAAGTTCCATCTTATTTAAGAAGAACCCTCTCTTGACACTGAACCCCACCTCTAGCCTCAAACAATTTCTCCTTTCATGCCCAGATAAGTCCCTTGACAGACTGGCCTACCCTGATTGTCTCTACTTTCCCAAGTTGCTTTTACCCTGAAAATCCAAAGTTAATCTTTGTACCTATTCTTACTAGACTAGAGACATATAATATCAAGTAATTATTAAACCCAGAGAAATAATTTCTACGTGGAGATGTTTTAAGTTATCTCACATTAGACTTTGAGAAGCCCATACTACCTGTATTTATTCCAAGGCTAAAAAACAAAGCTAAGTATACTCTCTCAGCCTATAAGTAAAGTTGGGTGGATTTCTCTGTCCTAGAGATCCTCCAAAGTACACACTCTCTCTACCAGGAATGACCCATGAAGCTGGGGCCCCCTGAGCCATAAAAAAGGTCTGAGACCTATTTTCTTCCATTGGCTTTTCAGGCAGTGGTTTCATATACCAAGTACAGTCATTATTTCTTAGTGTTTTCTTTGTCATATCTGAATAACTGAGAATCATTCTCAAATATTGTGCTGCGCGATAGCCTTTATTGCACAATCTATTAGTCTAATTGTGTCTGGCAAAATGTAATACAAATTATTATTAAACCTATGCAAGTAACTGTATTGTCATGAAAAGTAAGGGAAAGCAGTCAAAATATTTGTTTCTGAATTCTGTCAGTGAAAATCAGATACTATGGAAAAGATATATTTCATTTTATTTTTAAATACATAGTCTGCTAAATTATATATATATTATATATATTTATAAAAAATATTATAAAAACAAAATTGGAATGAGAGAGAGTAAAAATCCTGTTAGGTACAACTATATATATATATATTTTTTTTTTCCTGAGATGGAGTCTCGCTCTGTCACCCAGGTTGGAGTACAGTGGCACAATCTTGGCTCACTGCAAACTCCACCTCCCAGGTTCAAGCGATTCTCCTGCCTCAGCCTCCCGAGTAGATGGGACCACAGGCGCCTGCCACCACGCGTGGCTAAGTTTTGTATTTTTAGTAGAGACGGGGTTTCACCATATTGGCCAGGCTGGTCTCAAATTCCTGACTTTGTGATCTGCCTGCCTCAGCCTCCCAAAGTGATGGGATTACAGGCGTGAGCCACCGCGCCCAGCCAACATATATTTTTAATAAAAATTCCTTCAATATTTCCTCTAAACATAAAGACATATTATGATAGTGAGGTCATTAAAACACCTCCAAGGTCTTCCAGTCTATTCTGTAGTCCCTGAAAAATTTATAGTAGCAACATTTTACCTGTACAAAATTATCATTTGATTTAACATTTCTCCCCATAAAGTTCTTATAATACTGTTAGTAGTAATTAAGAAATATGGAGCATAAAAAAACTAGTTATTTCCATATCCCTTTCTTCATAACGCAAATAAATGATTTTTTGACTCCCTGGAGAAAATCTCTAAGGTAGTTTTAAATATTAAAGAAATGCATTTTTTTTTTTTTGTAAATGGAGGATCTAATTTTGGTACAACAAAAATCAAACAAGTTGTTGAAAGTTTCTTGTCACTTGATTAAGAGAGAATCATGTGTGCCTGGTGGGTGAATAATAACTGCCTATCTATTTAATCAGTGTGTATTATAGTTTTTTAAGAAAGCATAAAAGGCAGTCACACCATCTATTGTAAGAAATATTAACTTTTTCAGGGGTGAGTGAAATGTGTTTTTTTTGGTTTTGTCAGTAATCAAGGACATGATAAAGCATATACATCATGTTTACACGTCTGAAAAGTGACAAGAGCAACAGTACACATTCATTAACAAGACCAGAAAGTATCGCCACTCTGTATCATACTAAGACTAAGAATCAAAGGGACATGTGTTAACAACTATGCCTTATGATCAAGCTGTCAGTGTTCCTTCCTACTTAAAATTTACCCAGGGATCCAAAGATTATTTATTAGTTAGACTTAATATTAGTCCAAGGTTATACAGTTAATTAAGAATCTTGGATGTCATGTTTTAAACTAACACATTAGAAAACATGATTCTGCCTATATAAAACAATTTGTCAGACTTGTGACTCAATTTAGTTTAACACAGCTTTATATTAACCATAATGATAAATCATATTTTAGGTTATTTGATTAGTAAAGCAGTGTAAGAAATTTAGTAAGTTCAGATGAACTAGTGTCAACTAATGTGAAAACAAACACAAATCTGAAAATCACATCAAGAAAAAGCCATATAGCTGTGTTCATTTTTTAATTTTTTGTTTATATTTTTAAATTGACAAATTGAAATTGTATAGATTTACGGTGTACAACATATTTTAATATATGTTTGCATTGTGGATTGGCTAAATCAAGCCAATTAACATATGAATTACCTGATACGCTTGCTAATTTTTTGTGTGTATGGCAAGAGCACTGAAAATCTACTCTCTTAATAATTTTCATGTATACAATATAATGTTAGTAACTATACTCATCATGATACACAGTAGATCTTTAAAATTTATTCCTCCTAACCGAAATTTTGTGTCCTTTGACCAACATCTTCCTGACCACTCCCAGCCTTGGTAACCACTGTTTTACTCCCTGTTTCTATTAGTTCAAATATAGCTGTGTTTTTAAATCAAACTCATTCAAGTAATGTGATTTATCTAAGAATTTACCTGGACTGTATAAACTTGGGTTCTTATATAAAAATATTTCTTGGCTATCAGTTAAAAGAAAAAATTTCCTTAAAAGTCTAACACATATAAGTATGAAAAGTTCAGCTTCTTTATTTTCTACAATTTTGGAGAAATATGAGATTTATGTCAGTCTTATTATTCTCTATGAAGTAATTAGAACAGAGCTCCTTTAATTAGAGGAACTTCAGAATCTAATTAATTGGAACCTAATGGAAGTAGGAAATAGTTTATACTGATGCAACAGATAAAGGTTTTTCTCAGTTACAGATGTGCAGGCACACAGCTTGCAGCTCCACTCTCAGCCGTGGGTAAATTAATCACTGAAACGCACTACATCAGACCTCAGAGAGATGTCCTCCTTTCTAGTGGCCACAAAATGATTCCTTAATTGATTTGTGTGAACAGATAGAATAAAATAATAAGAAAGTAAACTCTCTACTATTTAACATGCAACAGAGAATAGATCCCCATCATCTTGGCAGGAATCACCAAAAGGTCAGATCATAAATCTGGTTTTCTGGTCATTGTCGCCGTTATTGAGGAATAACATTTTGTATGTGCAAATGGAATGAGACTCTAAGAAAGACAAGAACCAAAGACACAAAGAAACAAACCAGTAGATATAAAACCTAGAGAAGTGCAGAGGTAAAATTTGATTGCTACTTCAGGAGCAGCGTGAGAGAGAGAGAGAGAGAGTCTTGCCCTTACACAGTGCAGTTTAATTGGCTTCATTAAGTGAATTCACTTGGACATCTTGGCAGTACCTCCAAAGGATAATTTTCAAAATGTAAAAATAAAATAAACACATGGTTCATACAAATATAAACAGCATGTGTCAAATATTTTCTTCATCTTATTGATGAAAGAGTAAAATGGTAAGGTGAGTTCAGAAACTATTCATGGCTCAGGTCATTTGTAGTTAATTTCATTACAAATAAGATTGTCAATGTAGTTGCAAAAAATGTTTAATGTCGTACAGAAAAATAAGCCACAACCTTTATCTTTTCCATGAAAAGAAATTGCAACTGCAGTGGACAAAAATATGCAAGTTAATATGTAACCTAAGTCTAGGACTTTTAATTTGTTGTCAACAGTGAGCAGAATGAAGAACATTCTCCTAGATAATGCAATAAACCTTTGGTGGGCCTGGCGAACAATGCTTCTGAATATCATTGAAAAGACATGCCATCCACTTTTTTTTGAGGCCCTATTCCACATAACACACCTCATAAGCACTATGAGTACAACAGATCTAAAACTAAATCCATTATTATTTTTCAAAACATGTTTCTCTTTTTTACTTCCTCTTTTGGTTAGTGGCTTCACTATACACTCAATGACCATGTCCAAAGCTTGATAATCAGGCTCTTTCCTCCCTAACCTCATTCCCCATACAAAAGAATCACCTGTTCTATGTACATTATTTTTTCAAAGTTTTTGAGATCTTCTTTCTAAGCTTAATCCTTGCCAAATTTTTGCATCCTAAAGTCTCTGATTCAGTGTTTTCAAACTTGTGTGTTCATCAGAATCACATGAGGTGCATTGTCTGTAGACTCTAAGATGGTTCCTGATTTCCCCTGTCTCCCAGTATTCAAGCCCTTGTATAAATCCCCCATCTTGAGTATGGACACCATGTGAATTGCTTCAAAACAGTCAAAAGCGGCAAAGGTGATGGGAGGTCTCTTCCATGATTATGTTACATATGAGTAAAACTTTCCTCTTGCTAGCAGACTCTTTCCCTTGCTGACTTTAATGAAGTAAACCTCCACTTAGAGAGACCTATGTGACAAGGGACTGAAGAAGCCTCCAGGCAACAGCTAGCAAGGAGATGAAGCTCTCAGTCTGACAACCCACAAGAAACTGAATCCTGCTAGCAGCCATCTGATCTTTGAAGCTGATCCTTTCCCAGTCAAACCTCAGATGGGACCCCATATTTGTCCAAAATATTAACTGTAGCCTTGTGAGATATCCTGAAGTAGAAGACGTGGATAAACCATGTCCTAATTCCAGAAACTCTGAGATAATAAATGCTTGTTTTAGCTGCAAAATTTGTGGTAGTGTTTTACTTAGTAATAAATAACTAATAAGAGAACTTTTAAAAAATACAGGTTCTCAGACCTCTTTAAATGTGGGATGGGGACCAGAGACCTGCAGAGCTTTTTTAAAGCACTTCATGTAATTCTAATATTACGATATGCCTTATTTGTGAATCACTGTTCTAAGTCACATCCCTTCCTCCCATAAAATGTTTACATTGCTACCAGAATGTTCTTACTAAATCTCAGAAATGACCACACTTTTTGTGTGCTTTAAACCTCTCAATGACTGTACATTATCAGTACAATAATGCAACTAGCTGGCCTGGAGTACATCATCTTCAATTATGCAGATATTATGTACCTCCTCAGTATAATCTTTTACCATTTCACCAAAGGCATCCTGCACTATATGGAGCCAGTCCCCTGTGTCAGCAGTAACTACATCTCCATGAATTTGCTAGTGTTTCCTCTGCTTAGAAATTCCTGTCCTCTGTCCTAGCCCCCATCTGTTTGTATCTGGTAGATACAAATAAAATGTTAAATCTTCTGTGAATCATATATGTATTATAGGACTTATCACCTTGTGACATAATTAATTTTTAAAATGTATCTCTTGTCCAGTGGATGGTGGGCTTTTGCATGGGCTAGACTCAAAGTTATGAATCTTTTAAAGTAGCATTTTTATAAGTTATATATCTATTGTATACATAGAGCAAAATTCATGCTACAAAGTTATTGTTCAATATAATATAAAATGAATAAAAAATATATTTGCTCAGCCCTAGTTGCTTATAAAATGCCATACATACCATCTACAACCAAACCAGGAGTAGGGACCCTACTCCTATGTTTCCTAATTCAATTTTTTATAAATCAAATAATATAGGCGGCTTTCATTATTTATAGGAATTCTTCAGTAATTCCATTGGAAAGCAAAAAATCCTTCTGAGAGCATGTTACAATGTTACTTTTGCATATCCTTACTCTTTCTTTTCTTTAAGTTATATTGAGCTATTTGTCTTTTAAAGCAGAGTTCATCCGTATTTAGTGATATCAAATTATACATTTGAACAAATGCTTTTCTCTCTCTGGAAGTCACTGAATGTACATCAGGGCTAATGCTTAGATTTTTAAATCCTGGGAGAAAGAGAAAATGCAGCTCAGGCCCACATGTAGATAGACACTTAAATGTTTTTAAAACCAATGCAATGACTCTGCAAGAATTGCATGGGCAACATTTGAATTCAAGTAAAATTTTAAAAATCCATGTTTCAAGTTAAATAAAAGGTATACCTTTCTGATGCTCCTAACTGCTAGGAAAAATGCTAAGATTAAAGAATGACTCTATTAGTTGAGAGTGAGTTAGATACCTGTTTTCAAGTATTGCATCATTTCCTTGGAAAGGTCACAAATATGGCTATTTAGAGTTTTGAGTTTTTAAGAAGAACAGAATATAGAAAACATATTTTGTAATCAGAGCATAGATTAAATAAATGATCAACCACTCAAAAGAAAACAGGTAACACAGTTTCAAAACCACCTTTCTCTTATTTTTGGCTTTCCCAAGCCTCAACTTCCTGTACTATATTAGTGAGTAAGGGACAGATAGAGTAAAATAAAAGGAGGGTGTTTATTATATATTCTTGTTCTGTTCTCAAGTACTGTCATGTTTTAAATTAAATACTTGAAATGTATAATTTCTGTACAAAATAGCAAATGCAGTTGAAGAACTAGGATAAAATCATGATAATTACTTCAGAAATTCATTCAATGACGTAAACCAGAATTGCCAAATATCAATAGTAATTTACCTGGAATTTACCTGGGTGCACCTTCAGAGCTTTAACGTATGAGGTTATGTCTATATTCGTCAAATGAAAAGGCAGGCGATTCAATATCCAAGCATCTTTCTTACTAAGGGGAAAATAAGCAAATTGGTAGTTTTTCTATGTTGGCTCTCTCATTGTTACACAAAAAGCATTTAAATAATTACTGTTTGTGTTTCTCACTATATGTTTCCAATTCACAAACTTAATTATATTTTCAGAATTTAAATTTCATTTGTCAAAAAATAGCTATTGTTTCTTAATTATCACAGAATTTTATTGCTGGAAGAGAGTTTTGAAGTTATCTATTTCATTGTTTCTCAACTAGATGACTACATGTTCAATTGGAAATGATAAAGCACATTTGCGTTTTTGAAACCCCTAAACTAAGACAGCAGAGAAGAGGCAGAATAGAAAGAGGTGAAGAAGAGAATGGAGATGCATTCTCCCAAATTTTGAAAGAAAAGAAAAAGACACAGGCACTTAATACTTTGCTGAGTGGATCTTTGTTTGGTTAATGCGAACCTAGCTCCACATTTCATTTTCAGGTGAAGTGAGGACCATAAAATCTCACATTCTTTGTCCAATAGGAGGTACAAAAGCACAGGCATTCCCTAGCCAAGCAAGCTTTCCACCTTACCACCTAAATGTAATTCTCATAATCTTGGAACTGTAGCCTAACCAGAAGACTTTTCTTTCTTTCTCTTTGCCCTTTTCTAAACTTATGTGAAAACTTTCCCATTTTTTCAGACATCTGGCAAATGCATAGTGAGGTACACTGAAGTACCATAAATCTAGATGCCAAAACACGTTTCACATTAATGTTTTCTACTTCTAATGGGAAAATAAAATTTATTAGAGGTAGATACTTATGTTTTCTCCTTCTGTAACTAAGTGGCAAACCCTTATTCATCTTTCAAATCCTTGCCTGAATTTCATCTCTACATTCTCAGTTTTCCTATGGAACATTAACCATGCATTTTACTTTGCTGGACTAAATTTATGGCTTGTGGACTTTCTAGTGTACTTATAACATTGCAACTTATTTTTCACATGTCAACACTTTAACTAGACTTTAAGCCCTTTGGAGCGAGAACTGTCACTCTTACTTCAGGGACTGGTAAAGTGGCTGTCACATACTACATACTCCATAAATATTTTATTTTAAAAGGTTGTTTGATTATTTGTAGGGCAATATGGATTCTAAAAATCATTTATGTTTGGTGAATTTTAAAGTCACCACTTTATGCATCATTGTATGCAAAATATTATTTTCTGAGTGAATTTTCTGGCGATACTTTCATCTTATCTTTCTGAGTTCCAGTATTTATAGCATTTTTCTGTAAGGTAGGGGTATCAGTGTTCAAATCCATTTTACCTTAATCATGAAACTGCAAAATAATTCTGGATCACAAGTGCTGTCTTTCAAAACAGGATTATTATAGTGTTCAAGACAGCTGCCAGAGATGAATGCACTTGCTTTGTTTCGTTAGCTGACCTGTTGATGTAACCTGTGGTTTTATATTTAAGAAGGCATAAACAGTTTGCAATTTTGTATCTGTTAGAACCAACTCCAAGAGGCTGGCAAATAGAAAATAATTTCTATTTGAAATTATGTCACTTGTCTGATTTGGGGTGAGAATATATTAGTGAAGACATTGTGAAAAAAAAGGCCTAGTAGCTTGCTTATGACCATTCTAATCATTGCACAGGATAATTTGTAATGCTCAATTTACATTCTTGATCTAGGTATTTATAATAATTTTCTAAAACAAAAAAGAGTCCATTTCAGTCTGCATAATATGCAATTTTCTATAGACATTCCTTGCTCTTAGTAAATATATTTAATATCTCACACACAGTTTTAAAATTTTCAAAATTAATTGCTTAACAGCTTTCAATTTCTATACTCTATCATTGGTTTAAATACCCATCAATGAGTAACCAAGAGTTTCATAAATGTAACTTGAAAATATGCAAGACTTCAAGAGAGGCACAACTCTTACGACTAACATTATTGTGAGAATAAACCATTTTCTCAGCTCCAAACCTCAAGACAGCTAGTGTTTTCTAGACCCAGTCTCTGGAAGTGAGGAAGAGGAGAAGGAATCATTTCTGTGTAGGCTGTAGAAGGACAAGGCCCAGTGCTGCCTGTTGTGGGTAATAACCCATTTAGATTTCCATTCATCTGGAATATCTTTTCTGGTATGAGTGTCCATTTTAAGTAGGCAAGAATGGAGTAGTAAGGGAGGTCACAATAGTTTTAAAAAAATCTGGTGTTTGAGAGTAAAGATGTTATGAGAAGGGATTGTAGGATCAAGCAAAGGTATTTAACTGAAAACTGACGAGTAGAGGAAGGAGGCAAGATGTCCATTCAATAATAATAGCCAATATTTTTTGAGAGCTTACTCTGAGCCAAATGTAGAACTCTTTAATCCTAGAGACTATATATATATACGGTCCCATCGAATCCTTACAACAGCTTTATAGGTTCAATACCATTACCCCTCTTTCACAGATAAGGAATATGAAGCCCAGAGGACTTGTCCAACTAATTTGCCCAGAAGCCTAATGGCTAATGGGTGGCATAACAGGTATTTAAATCCAGGCAGGCTAAGTCCCCAGCCCATTTACACATAATCACGAGGCCACAGCTATCTCTGTTAGATGTGTGAGCCATTATTTATCCAAGGTGCAAGCAGGAATTAACTTCAGAAATAAGGGCTCGCCTGAGAAATGGGATCCAAGGAGAAATGGAAAGATTTGTGTCCTTGAGTCAGAGGGAAATCTACTTTCCTTAGATGGTGGGGTGGATAACTTGTACCTAGAAGAGGAGATGACAGCAAGAAGGAGAGACTTGTTCAGTATTCTCTCTAAGAGATGTGAGGTCCACCTAGGCATGGCACTGAAGGAACAGAGAGTAGGACATTAAGAGGGATGAATAGTTCGTGCATCCATAGTTTTACCTGTTAATAGGAGGAATATTTGGAACACTCACTATCTTTTCCTACCTCTCTAGTACATACAAATGTATGAGAAACATTTATTGACATCTGTGTGTAAGAGGCACTGTGCTAGATGCTGATGATACAGTGGTGGATGAAACAAACATGGAAACAAACACAGATGAAACAAACACAGAACCTGTCTCGTGTTCTCAAGGTCTAGCTGGGAAATAGGTATTCATCAAAGTGTAAAATAATCACATTAAAATGTGAAATTGAAAGTGCTACAAGTGTCAAAGAGAGACACACAGGACTAAGAGCTCTCTGATAAGGAAATTTAACCTGCTTAGCATGTTAATGGACTGTTTCTCTAGGGAAGTGAGTCTCTGACTTTTTAAAAAATATACATACAGTGTTTGTTTGTCAACTGTATCTCGACAAAGCTAGAAAAATGGAAGCAGATGGCACACATTTTCGTTTGTGCAAGATGAATAATTCCTAGAGATCTACTGTACAGCATAGTCTTTATAGGAAATAATAATTGTTTTATATATTTTTTCTTTTTTAAGTTTTATTTTAGGTTCAGGACATACATGTGCAGATTTGTTTCATGGGTAAATTTCATGTTGCTGGGGTTTGGTGTACCAATGATTTCGTCACCCAGGCAGTGAGCATAGTCCCCGACAGGTAGTTTGTTGACTCTCACTCTCCTCTCACCCTCCATCCTCAAGTAGGCCTCAGTGTTTTTTGTCCCCTACTTTGTGTCCATGTGTACTCAATGCTTAGCTCCCACTTATAAGTGAGAACATGCAATATTTGACTTTCTATATCTGCATTAATTTACTTAGGATAATGGACTCTACCTACATTCACTGCTACAAAGGACATGATTTCATTCCTTTTTATGGCTGTGTAGTATTCCATGGTGCATATGTACCATATTTTCTTTATCCACCACTGATGGGCATCTTGGTTGATTCCACATCTTTGCTATTGTGAGTAGTGCTACAATAAACACATAAATGCATGTGTCTTTTTGGTAGACAATTTATATTCCTTTGAGTGTATACCTGGTAATGAGATTGCTGGGTGAATGGCAGTTCTGAGTTCTTTGAGAAATCTCCATACTGCTTTCCACAGTGGCTGAATCAATTTACATTTCCACCAACAGTATATAAGCATTCCCTTTGCTCTGCAACCTCTCCAGCACCTGCTATTTTCTGACTTTTTCATAATAGCCATTCTGACTGGTGTGAGATGGTATCTCATTGTGGTTTTGGTTTGTATTTCTCTAATGATCAGGCATTTTGGGCATTTTTTTCACATGCTTTTTGGTCATGTGTATGTCTTCTAACTACAAAGTTAATTAAGCAAAGAGATGTATCCCCAAGAATTTACAATGGATAACTTATATCTACAAATAATTTTATCAGTGTAAACTAAATGTATTTTAACATTGAATCTGTATGAGCAACAGGAAATAAAGAACTCTGCAGCAGCTTCTGAAGAACATAACATGTCAACCTGAATAATTCAGATGACATTCTCTCTCTCTCTGTCTCTCTCTCTCCTTCATATGTATTTATCCCTTTATTTATTGGCATATTTGCAAGATATTCACCCGTTAAGTGCTTCTTAAAATTAGGTATAAATGAAAAAATATTTGGAGAGTTTGATAATTGCAGATTGCATCTCTCATGCCAAGAGATTCTTTGACCTTAGTGTCCGGGGCAGAGTCTGGGAATCTACATTATTGACAGGAACACCAGACAATTTTGATGAAGGGAACCAAATCCTAGCACCACAGTTAAGAAATATAGCCCTAGTTTTTTAATAATCTATTCCATATTTGTATTTTATCCACTATGCTTATTTAAATATAATCTTAGTATTATAATATAACCTATATTTTATTCCATCTATTAATATTACCATCTTAGTGGCATATAATATAATGTACAATCCACTTAACAGAAGGCTATATTTACATTTTCTGTATGCATTCCCTGTTTCAGGTAAACTCAGTTAGGTAATTGGAATCTCCAAACAAAACGATTTCTTTATCAAATTTAGATGTGCTAGCAGACCAAGAGCAAGATGAATGAACCACTCAGAGGCTTTACTACAGCTATGTTTAAAACTGCCATGAAATACAAGAAATCACAAAAAGATGCCAGAGGACAGAGCTGTTAGAAGATTATAAGATTGTGTAACATTTGCTCTTAGTTATTAGTGTTAAGAAAATAACTCAGTGATGATAAGGAAAGTGTAGAATGGATTCCAGAAAACGAAAGTTTTATTCAAGTGTCATCTACATGTTAAAGGATTAAATTGAAGGTCTTAGTAATTATTTCTAAAATGAAAAAAAATCATAAATGCATTGCCCATGCATGATAATATGGTCTTCAGAAGCTTAGGAGATCTTGCTGCTAAAATCCAAAAATGGAACTAAACCAAAATTACACTCCTTTTACATCCTGGTCGGTGTCTAACATTTTATAGTTTGAGCATTCTTCTGACAGCTTCACTTTTTCTGCTTCTTCTTTTTTTCCCCAATATGGGTTACTGACACCTCAGCATGAATTACCTTAGAGGCTTTCCTGAGAGTAGGTTATCATGGAGGGAAGGAGAGGATAAAGCACCGAAAAGAAAATTCACATAGTTTACCTTTTAAACTTTGAAGGAGTCATCAGTGATGGCAAGAAAGATGCTGAAGAGAATGGCCAAATGCTAATATAATTATCTTGAACATAAATGATATAATCATGGGCTCAACGGGACTGAAATTGAGATTACAGATTGAAGCCAAGGCAGTATGGAATGGCAGGAGTGACTGAAAGTAACTAGGGCTCAGAAAGATGGTCCATGTCTTTTTGTGGATAGGATTTGAATTATGTCTGGAATTGTTTTGAGTAGTAGTTTGAATTAGGGAAGAGAAAAAGGTAGCTGAAGAGCCTTTTAATAAGGGAATAGGGAAGGTGTGCAGGTGCTTGAAGGAGAGAGTCATAGTCAAGAGTGGTGAGGCTGAAGTAACAGAATCACATGTGGCCCTGTGAGTGCCTTCCAGATGTACCAAAGAGGACTCTCTGGGGCCAGAGGGGGGATCTCATCATCTGTATACTTATAAAGCACCTCCGGTGATTCTAATGTGGGCCTTCAGTTCAAAGGAGCTCATCTAGGCTATAGAGTTTGAGGGAAAGAATTGTGTGGATGGGACAGTAAAATTCCTATTTATTTTAAGAGATGTCATGAATTAAATAGCTAATAGGTTGAGTTCCACACTTCACTTTTCCAGAACTATCTCTGTTAAAAGAAATTTTACATAATATATATTATTTTCATTGCTCAAAATACTAAGGTTCATTTGGGAAAATTCAAAAAGAAAGATGAAGAAAGAATTAATATAGTACTCATGCCATAAATATAGTTAACTTTTGTATATATTTACTCTGAGTTTTTTTCACTGTCATGTTTAAAAATATGTGATTATAATTTACATCCAACTTCATATCTTGCAGTTAAAATAAATACTTTTTTTGTGGTAAACATGTTTCATTTTATATAGGTTTTCAGTAATGAGTTTAGTAGTGAGGTCATATATGAATGACTATTAAATTATTTGTAGGTATCATATTTCTGAATAAACCTAAGGTCACAAATGGGAGTGTAAACCTACTTATAATTTATGCTATTGTGTGACTTCTCTACTTTTCCTTATGTGCCTGTATGTCCCCTCTCCCACTTCTTCCTTCCTTCCTTCTTTCCTGCCTGCTTTCCTTCCTTCTTACTTTCTTCCCTTCTTTCCTGACTAGGAGGAGCTCTCTGTCATCCTTGCTAGAGTGGGATGAAGCAGAACAATTCAAAGAACTCCATAAAATACTGACGTATGCATGCCTGCACATATATACAAGCTTTTATTAAACCCTCTCTATAAGTGAAAAAAAATAGATTCCTAATAGTAACTTTCACTGAAAAACATTCTGGGGTAATCATATGTTAAGGAACTAACATGAATAGCTAAATTAAATGGTTTCTCCATAAGTGAGCAAAATATAATATGTATAGACATGGTCTGAGAGCAAAAACTTCATGGTGCCCCCCAGGCCAAAAGAAGCACCTAAGACTACATCTTATCAAGTAGATAGGTCCATTTGAAAAACACACATATAAATTGAAAAAATTGTATTATTTTATTCTTAATAAACACAACTACATACTAATGAGATATATGTGTGCCTGGCGGGCTCTGCACAACTTCTCACGCCACTTCTACTCTCATTTCCTCTTCCTCTCTGACTTTCCACATGATAATTTCTTTGTATCACAGCAACTATTTCTTAAACCAAGCTTCATAAAAATATGTCATCAAAAGGTATGTGGCACAATTTCATACTGACCCTGTGAAATAGCTCAAGCTGTACTTTGTGCAGTGCCTAATAGATATTAAATGTTGGTATCTAACAGGTATTGATCATGTCTGGGCTTTCCTCTAAAATGTCAAATACCCCATGAGCACTCATGTGAATTTGCTGTGGTTATCTGGGTTACATCAGTGCAAAATTGGGAACCATGCACTTAGCATCATCTGAAAATTTTAATTTGTTCTACATGTTTCATAGTTATATGCCTGATGAAAGCATTCAATAGCATGAATATGAATAAATAACCCTTTTTCAGTGGAGTCAAACCAAACACCAAATTGGTAAATTTCACAATTAATTATATATATGTATATAAAATATATATATCTTTAAAAGTTATATATAAAACATTTAAAATTAAGTAATATGCCTATGATATAAAGTACTACATATTTTTATATATCAAATATATTTTATAAATATATATCAAATATCTTATATAAATATAAATATATAATATATTTGATATATATAATATATTATATATAATATATATATTTGATATATATTTTTTTTCTGTTGGGGAAAGCTAAGTGATTTCACTGACTTTCAGTGTCAGATGCCCTTGTCAAATTTAATATATGCCTCTTATTTTACAGTGGAGAAATCTGAAGTTCAGATAGATTAAATGACATTTTCAAATCACATAGCAAGTGAACCACATGTTCAAGACATTGCTCAGATCTTCTAAGACCAACTTCTATGCATTACTCAACAATAAGGCCATGTGTAGAGTACAGGTAGCTCTCCACACTTCCTTCCTCCTGGGCTATACTACCCAGTGAAAGTAGTGTTGAGAATGTGGCAGTTAAATATTGAAATTGGTTACTAGGAAACCTTGCATTGTGTTCTTGCCTAGGGTTTTAACAAGCTTAAATACCATTCAGTTTAAGTAAACCAATACAAGAGTAAATCTACTTAAAACCTACAGTCTGGAAGTAGAAATTGCCTCCTAGTGTAATTTTTCCTTTTTACAAATTGTTTATGTGTACTGAACACCATGTTCATCTAAGTGCACACATTGTAAATACCCCTTCTATTTTCATTGTGTATTCTTACCTATTGGGCTTCTACTGGCAGAGAAATTTTTAGATTTTGCAGTCTCTGGCTCTGCCTTTACTGGAAAATTGCTCTTTAATGTGTGTATTGAACAAACAAACAACATCTAAAATAGAGTATAAGGCCCTAGGAATACAGCTAACAAGGGACATGAAAGACCTCTGCAAGGAGAAATACAAACTACTGCTCAAGGAAATGAGAAGACACAAACAAATGGAAAAACATTTCATCCTCACAGATAGAAAGAATCAATATTGTTAAAATGGCCATACTGCCCAAAGTAATTTATAGATTCGATGCTATTCCCATCAAACTACTATTGCCATTCTTCACAGAATTAGAAAAAAAACTACTTTAAAATTTATATGGAACCAAAAAAGAGCCCATATAGCCAAGACAATCCTAAGCAAAAAGAACAAAACTGGAGGCATCATACTACCTGACTTCAAACTATATACAAGTCTACAGCAACCAAAATAGCATGGTACTTGTACCAAAACAGAAATATAGACCAATGGAACAGAACAGAGACCTCAGAAATAACACCACAAATCTGCAACCATCTGAACTGGACAAAAACAAGCTATGGGGAAAGGTTTCCTTATTTAATAAATGGTGCCAGGAAAACTGGCTAGCCATATGCAGAAAACTGAAACTGGACCCCTTCCTTACACCTTATACAAAAATTTACTTGAGATGGATTAAAGACTTAAACGTAAAACCAAACCCCAAACCATAAAAATCCTAGAGAAAATCTAGGCAATACCGTTAATGACATAGGCATGGGCAAAGACTTCCTGACGACAACAACAAAAGCAACTGCAACAAAAGCCAAAATTGACCATTAAACTAAAGAGCTTCTGCACAGCAAAGTAAACTATCATTGGAATGAACAGACAACCTTATACAATGTGAGACAAGTTTGCAATATACCCATTTGACAAAGGTCTAATATCAAAAATCTACGAAGAACTTAACCAAATTTATAAGAAAAAACAAACAACCCCATAAAGAAGTGGGCAAAGGATCTGAACAGACACTTCTCAAAAGAAGACATTACGTGGTCAACAAACATATGGGGAAAAAAAGCTCAACATCACTGATCATTAGAGAGAGAAATGCAAATCAAAACCACAGTGAGATACCATCTCATGTCAGTCAGAATGGTGATTATTAAAAAGTTAAGAAACAATAGATGCTGAAGAAGCTGTGGAAAATAGGAACACTTTAACACTGTTTGGGATTGTAAATTAGTTCAAACATTGTGGAAGACAGTGTGACGATTCCTCAAGGATCTAGAACCAGAAATACCAATTGACCCAGTGATCCCATTACTGGGTATATACTCAAAGGAATATAGATCATTCTACTTTAAAGACACACGTACATGTATGTTTACTGCAGCACTATTTACAATAGTAAAGACATGGAACCAACCCAAATGTCCATGAATGATAGACTAGATAAAGAAAATGTGGTACATATACATCATGGAATACTATGCAGCCATAAAAAGGAATGAAATCATGTCCTTTGCAGGGACATGGATGAAGCTGGGAGCCATCATCCTCAGCAAACTAATGCAGGAACAGAAAATCAAACACTGCATGTTCTCACCCATAAGTGGGAGTTGAACAATGAGAACACATGGACACAGGGAGGGGAACAACACACACTAGGACCAGTTGGTGGTTTGGGGGTGAGGGGAGGGAGAGCATTAAGACAAACTGCTAATGCACGTGGGGCTTAAAACCTAGATGACGGGTTGATAGGTGCAGCGAATCACCATGGCACAAGTGTACCTACGTAACAAACCTACACGCTCTGCACTTGTATCCTGGAACTTAAAGTAAAATAAAATAAAATAAAATAAAATATAAAACTACAAATGCAAACAATATATATACTGCAAGGCAAAGGGATGGGTAATGATATTTCTCTTAGACTATCATCAATTCCTTCCCTCCATTGTATATACGTGCCATTTTCTCATTCACAGGTAGAGTATATTCCTCTTCTCCCTTTGTATATAGTGTGATCTTAGAGACTTGTTTCCCCCAAAGGATCAGCAGAAGAGATGTTCTGGGCCTTGAGAGGTCATAAGAAGCCTTATAGTTTCTGCCTGGGTCACACAGAACACTCTCTTTTAGAAGCTTTTCTCTTTGGAAAGCTAAAATCCATGTTATAAGTCTAAATACTCTGAGACTGTCATGTGTAAACAGGGGGAAGCATGAGCTTCCAAGTACTATCACCAACTCAGCTCAGGAGCCAGGACATGTGAGTCAAGTTACCATCATTCTTCAGTTGATGCCACATGGATCAGAGATGAACCGCCTAACTGGGCCTTTCCTGAACTTCTGACCCACAAAGAGCAACATAAAATAACTGTTTTAAGCCACTGAGTTTTGGGGTAGTTTGTTAGGTTGCAATAAGAAAGCAGGGTAGGATGATCACATGCCCTTTTAATGTCACGTTGGAGCATCATCTTAAGACCCTAAAGGTCAGTTGACTTGCCAGGTTAAAGTGACTTATTTAGTTTGACTTATTGTGTGCCCTAGATTACAGTCCAGCCCCATAAAGTTTGATGCAAACTTATAGAAAATTGTGAAATTTTATTTTTCCCAGCAGAGATGCAAATAATTTCTGCCTGGTGAGAAATATAAGTCCAAAAGTTATGGCTTTATAGCACAGCAGGATATCTACCACTTTTGCATTAACACATCAGTCTTATCCAGGATTCTTCCTTTCACTGACTATATATGCATTCACATTTGGGATCCTACTTTGAACCAGCTTTGTTGTTGTGCCGGTTCCCTTTAATTTATCAATTAAATAGATCTTTGACATATACTCACTATATATTTTGTTTGAGAATAATGTCTTTAACTTTGGAAATTATACTTTGACATATGTAAAAGATTGTTCTTCACCACTGGGTTCTACATTGACTCAGTATCACATATCCCAGTTAAATGCAATGGAGAAATATATTTCATAAAGAAGATGGTATCCCAATGCTGGCTAAAGCCAAGAAGTATTTCTATCTAGGTTTACAAAGGGTTGGGGTACCTCCTCCATAAAGCATTTCTCTAATTCTTCCCATACACAAGATTCATTTAAAACAAAAACAAAAACAAAAACAAATGACCATTCCTCCTTGGGGTCTCAAAGCTGCTGTCAGAGTCCACTCAGAAATCTCAATCTGTTTAATGTATTTCTTTATTTAAAAGCCTGTGTACCCTTAACAGACTAGAGACAATCAATAGCAGGTCTGTGTACAATTCATCTTTACACGGACAGTGTCTAGCATACAGTCTCAATAAAGATTTCTTTGTAGGAGTGGTGCGTAATAAAATCGTATATGGATTTTATATAATTCCTTTGTATAATAAAAGAGTAATGAGTCATGAATTAAATGCTACTTGCATTATTCATTTCATGTTCTGAAATTTTTATTTTGAATAAAACATTTCACCATCTCCAAAATGCTATGTGAAAACTGTATATAAATCTTTCACTTCCCCTTTCTCAGGAGATATCAATAGTAATTTAGCATGAGAAAGAGCTTTGATTTTACTTGTACTCTTTTTAAAAAAATTAAAACTTAAATTTGTTTTCAGTGTATGATTCAAAAATATATATCAAATTATGTCTCTATATGCTACAAGGATAAACACTTATTAAATAAAATTGAAATTTCTAAAATGGTGCATGTTTCCTCTTTAGCCATGGGTCTTCTGTGCATGTTTCAGATAATCAAATGAAAATTTGCATTGATTAAATTCTGAATTCCACTTAAAAATGTCCCTTCCTTTGTTCTTAGTTAAAATTCAAACTGTGAATCATTTGCATTTAAATACCCTTTTAGATTTGGTTCCTTACTAGTATCAATATCCATTTGGATGATTGCTAAAAAGTAAAAATCTCAGCAACATGCTGCATATGTTGCTTATAATCCTGCTTAATTGCTTTGAATTTGCAATTAAAAACTCAAAACAAAAATAAAAAGCCAAATCCACAGAAATAAAAATCATAGCAAATGATATGCCCAGTTTAGGAAGTAGCATACGTTTTACTTTGAATGACTACTTGCTTTTCTTGAATAAGACACCTGCCTTATTCATATTGCATACAAATATTTTAAGAAATTTAGCCTATGAGATTTGTGAAGTTCACGATTTGATGACCATTTCTTGCCCATTCAAACTTTACTGGACTACTCGCTACAAATGAAGGTCAGAGAAGGAAGTCAATTTTTCATCAGAACAAACTTGATTAGATTGACTAGTTTTTCAAAAAGTGAAGTTTTTTTTAAAAAGACTATTTTAAAGTAGTACACTTATATAGACTTTTTTATATGTGTATTTGATGCAGCCCCAATTATATCTGTTCAGGTATTAACTCCTTCTGCTCCTTCTCCTCCATGAAAGGAAAAGCAGGCATAGATCCAAACAGAAATATCCATATGACCTATTGAGAATCTATATTATAACCAAATGGCCATTAGGATATCTAGGTTCCATAATTTTTGCTACAAGGCAATTATTGAAACTTTAAATACTAGTTCTACAAGAGGGACTTAATAAGCTTAAAAATATTCACTAAACGTATCAAGCATTTAAATAAAGCAAGACAATCAGTTTTCAATATACTAAATACCATAACTACATGTTCAGCTAGTTTGATTATTAATATTTCCTAACTAGGAACTCATTAGTCTTTGTTTGTTTAACCTAAGAAGTTAAGTACATGACTTTATTAGCTTCTCTGAGCTTTTCTTACATTACTGGAGTTAAGATAATTCTTCCACTTCAGCTGGCTGTGCTCACTTTTTGGTCCTGTGCTCTTCCTCCCTTCCTCAAATTTCTTCCTTTTGGCCAGTGGCCTGATTTGTGGGTTTACTTCTTTTCTTTGGGAATCAGCTTCCACATTCCAGCGGAACTGCACCACTTTGTTCTGTCTGTGGCTTAAGTCAGGTTGATATGGCTTACAAGTTACTCAATAATCTCTCAGGGACCGCTGATATTAAGGTGAGGGGAAAAAAAAAAAAACGAAAAAGCTAGCTTTCTGGCAGAGTGAAAACAGGAAACCCTGGAATCCAAAGAAACTTATTCTCTTGTGCTTTTTTTTCCTCCTGATTTAGTTTCCCCACTTCAATCTTCCCCACCTGGGGCCACTGAAATTTTATACTGAACACTTTACGTGGACTCCATGTTACCTGAAGTATTTGCCTTTTCATGGAAGAAGTTTCTTGGTTTTCCCATCATTCAATTTAACCTTTGTGGTTAAGGTTTATGTAATGTGAACTTGGCTTAAGGAAAAAATTTTAAAATACCTCGCTCTTACTCCCTGCTGGATTTATGTGAAAGAAATAACTGGACAAAGGTACTGCAAATATATCCAAGATCATTTCTCACAGTTTTGTCCATAACAACAATAACTCATGAGAATATAATCATACAGTTTATGACTAGGCAACCATTAAAGGAAGGATGTATATTTATTATATTAAGGAAATGGAAATATGTTTTTGACATATTTTTAAGCTTAAAAGTTGAGAAGGCAGGCTACAAGTTAATTAAAAGTAGAGATTTTACACCAATATGCTGATGATGGTCATGCTGGATGATGAAATTTTAGACTTTATACAGTCCACCACTTACGCTCCCTATGTGGTTACAGTTGTCATTCTGTATACTGGGGCGGGGGGCGGGGAGAGCAGCTATTGGTTTCAGGACCCCTGCATATGCCAAAATCCTTGCATATTCATGTCTGGCAGTCGGCCCTGCAGAACCACATATATGAAAAATGGACCTTCTGTAAAGGCCATTTCACATCCGCAAACACTGTATTTTCCATTTGTGTTTGGGTGAAAAAGATCTGAGTTTAAGTGGACCTGTGCAGTTCAAACTGTGCTGTTCAAGGGTCAACTATATTTAGTTTTACATTCAAATTAACTACAACTCAATAAAATTTAAAATTTCAGTTCTTCAGTTGCACTAGCCACACGTCAAGTGCTCAATAACCACATATGTCTAGTGGCTACTGTACTGCACAGCCCAGATACAAAACATTTCCATTATTGCAGAAAGTTCTGTGGGACTGCATTGTTTTAGATAATGCCTATTTCTTCTATGATGTTTTTGTTTATTCTAACTTTTACAATGATTATAATTTTTATAATCAAAATAACAATGAAATTATTTATACCGTGGGGGAAGCATCTTTGCTGTTAAAATGAAATTACAGTGCAGGAAATCTATATCATGATTTTCTTTATCTAATAAGTATGTATCACAAGTGGTCCTCAATACTGATATTATTGAACTTTTTTAATGGAGAGCTTTTCTGAAATTTCATCTAGCTATCTAAAATATTTGGATTGTTCAGTTATTCAACAAATCTCTTACTTCAGAGTCTCCTTGGGAATATCTATTCAACCAGAAATGGAAAAGAAAATTACTTATTTGGCAACTAATCTTTGGCTGTATTCCTTTTGTATTTCTGTGCATTGAGAAATGGTCTATGGGGTAGGGGAAATGGTAGTAGAACTATGTTTTAAATATCTAAGGAGATTTGTCAGACATCAAATACTAATATAACATGTTACAATATTGGAGGCCCATGATGAGTCAGGCTGCTATCTATCTATCTATCTATCTATCTATCTATCTATCTATCTATCTATCTATGATTTCTTATTTATTTTGGCCTGTCCACTAGGAGTTTTGGATTTTTAAAAATTAATTTGGTTTATTTAAAATTCAGAAGATTTTTAACAATATGGATTTTGCTTCTCTTAAAAATCGTATCTGACAATACTGAATCAAGATTTTTGCAGGCCAGCTGAGTGTACTCTGAGAAGCAATCTCCCCATTTAGCTATAGCATGTGTTTTTGTGCTCTTCAAGGTGTTATGGCAATCAACATTTTCCACTCTCTCCTACAACCTAGCATGCTGGTCCATTTATGTCATTGGCCCTAACCATGCAGGCATCTGAGTTTGAGTCTGTTGTCTATTTGAAGAGCAGTCACAGCACATATTCTGGTTAGAAATGGAATTTCCTGAGCAACTAAATGATTTGATACAAAAGAAATCAAGCATCAATAATCTTGTCCTATTTCAATTTGGATTAATCGATATTTCACCACCACTTCCACAAACTCCCAAACTCCTGTCAGTGTCACAACTGGGTTTATGGACATTCATCAGAGTGGTTCATTGTTACTACAATACACAGGATATGTATGCACATTTAAGGATATGAATTAGACTGTGATGCACAAAAGTGTCATAAGCTAATTCCCACAGCTCTCCTTGATAATATGATACACTATGAAGTGACTTTCATTTCAGTTTATCAGTTTCTCATCCAATTCTGAACTTTATTAAAGGACATTAATCATAGAGACCATTTACTCTTTTGAGGTTGCTGACTAGATGTCTGTGGAACTATATGAATCTACTAAGACAAACACACGTCTATAAGAGAGTGAGGCAAATAGTTGGTTATGGCTGCTAATACGCTTCTGAAAGGCAATTTTAAAGAAGATAAAATGTGTTTTGTGCAATCAATGTCAGTGAAATCAGTTGAATTTTCCAAAGCAATTGCTCTAAAAGACAACACTCATCTGTTTTGCTGGATATTTGATTTGTTTTTGTGGTCGTTGTTTAAATCCATTTCTACTCTTTTAAAGTTATAACTTATTGGTATATGGTTCATTCTTCACCAATGCAGATATATTGAGAAGAATGGAACCTGTCACATATAACACATATTTGGGCAAAGAGTACTTTCTTAAGGAAAAAACAAACAAAACAAAACAAAACAAAAACAACTACTAAAAGACTTTAAGTGGAACTGTGTAGAACATGTTAAATATTTCCATTTCTGTTTACCTTTGTTTCTAGGTATTTGAAAAGCCCAGGCTGCTTTGTTTTATAAACAATTCCTATACTCCTGTGGGCATAATTCTATATTAACTGAAGATTAATTTCAGGTTACACTGTAAAAATGCCTTACAAATGCAATACTATTAGGGTGTGGAAAACCCTGAAGGAACTGAAAATCCAATCCATTTGAGGGAAGCCTTTAATTAACATCTTGGAGAATATGTATTACCTTTTTAAACAGATAAATATTTTTTTTCATTTTAGAGTAGCGGAATCTAATCTTAATCTAATCTTTTAGGAGTATATTTCAGAGAAATTCCAAGCACACCAGTATGACCATCCTTATTTCAGAAATGACAATGCATAGAGGAAAAGTAATGTGTGCAAAGCCTCCGAAGAGGATGGTTAAGTAAAGACTTAGGTTACCAGTATCAGGCTTTCGTTTTTGTATGTAGGTAGCTCTACTGCCTCCTCTTAAAACCAACAAAGGAAAGAGAGACTGGCTGCAAACTTTTAGAAGGAATGGCTTCGAATAGGGTTCCTGGGAGGAATCCCGAGGAAATAGACGCTGCTGCTCTGCTGATTGTCTCCACTATCCTGTTTTGCTCCTACCCACTAATCCAGCCTGGGAGGCTCTGGGCATTAGCGGAAGGCTTCACCACAAGGAGACAGGAGCGAGTATTCCATAGGCATGCGCTCCTAGTGGCACGAGTGGCTTGGGTCAGGATCAAAGAGTGAAGGATTCGGAAGTCAGCTATCTGGAGAGAGAGAGAGAGAGATTGTGTTTTATTCGTGTCCCATAGCTTTCCTATCCTATCCCTATCCTAGCTTTTAACCTGAGCCAGAGCTCACTACACAGGTTCCTGGCTATCGAGTCTGAATCTGCACTACTCAACTTATAAACTGTCTGCAGACACCTGTTAGGGAAATTGCTGATCATGGGCAGCAGGATCTGAACTCGCTTTACCTTCTCGTTTGGAGCACAGGGACCGCCCAGCTAGAGGAGCACCAGCGCACTGCGCCCCAGCCCTGGGCGAGGGTGCGGAGGATTTGTTCTCGGTGCAATCCTGCTGGCGCTTTTCCGGGGTTCTGCGCGGATCCAGCTCCCCATCTCTGCTCCTACACACACAAAAGAAAACAACTCTCGATTGGAAGTTGTGGAATTTTCTCAGCCCCTACGAGGCGCGGGGATTCTCCAGCCCCGGCCCTCCTCCCGCCAGCCTGAGGTCTCCTTCGCTCGCCTGCCTTGCTAGGGACCGCAGTCCCTCAGCCGCAGCTGGGTCTGTCCGCCCCGCCTTTGCCCTCGCCTTTTCCCGGGGCGGATTTGGTGAAGTCGGCCTCAAGTCCAGGAGGTCTGTCTTCGCCGGGCCAGCTCTCGCGGAACTGGGGGGTAGAGAGCAAAGGGAGAGATTCGTGGAAGGGAAGGGAGGTAGGGGTGGCGCAAACGCCCAGAGTATCAAACTTGGGGGTGGCACAGTAGGTGACAGCAGCAGCTGCAGGTGGTGGCTGGGGACCCGCGAGGGGGCGCCCCTCTGGGTAGGGTCTGGCTGAGCGGGCTTGCAAGCCCGGGAGGCGGCTGAGAGACCCTGGACACTGTTCCTGCTCCCTCGCCACCAAAACTTCTCCTCCAGTCCCCTCCCCTGCAGGACCATCGCCCGCAGCCTCTGCACCTGTTTTCTTGTGTTTAAGGGTGGGGTTTGCCCCCCTCCCCACGCTCCCATCTCTGATCCTCCCACCTTCACCCGCCCACCCCGCGAGTGAGTGCGGTGCCCAGGCGCGCTTGGCCTGAGAGGTCGGCAGCAGACCCGGCAGCGCCAACCGCCCAGCCGCTCTGACTGCTCCGGCTGCCCGCCCGCGCGGCGCGGGCTGTCCTGGACCCTAGGAGGGGACGGAACCGGACTTGCCTTTGGGCACCTTCCAGGGCCCTCTCCAGGTCGGCTGGCTAATCATCGGACAGACGGACTGCACACATCTTGTTTCCGCGTCTCCGCAAAAACGCGAGGTCCAGGTCAGTAAGTGTAATTCCTAACTCTGATCACCTCCTGGGAACAAGAAAATCCCTAGAGGAGCGCTCGGTTCCTATGAAGAGGGACATGAGGAGGTCCTCATGAGTGTATGGACTTTTTCCTCCTCCTTTAGGCGGGAGGTGGCGATTTGGAGGATGTAATACCATCCCCATTTTCTACTTTCTCTAGATTTTCCCTTTTCTGTTGAAGATTATTTACTATTTCCTTGACCCTTCTTTGAGATAGGTCATTATCTTTCCAGAACAGTAAGTTGTTATTGTTCCTGCCTCTTTAAAAATCAAACACTTGTCTAAAGCAGAAGGTCCTATTGGATTCTCCAAAGCCGTTCAAGAGGAGACACATTCATTTAAGCGTTTGCTCATTTTCCATCAGAAAGGCTCACCCACTGGCAGGAGCTTTTGGTGGCAGGGAAAGAGGCAAAATTAAAAGCTTTGAGACTTTTTGCAATAGGTACACATCATTTAAAATTCAGTGACATGAAATGGAGATGCTGTTTCCAAAGAAAGGCTTCCCACACCCTTTGGTGAATATTTTCAACTTTCTACTGATTAGCCAAACAATCATGTCTTGTATGTAGCATTCTTGAAACTTCCCTTCTTCCCCCTCCCCTGCCCCCATTCCTAGAACTAATTAGTGTAGGCAAATGCAGGGCTTTTGATTTCTGAGACTGATTTCTGAGATATTTTTCCCTGGGAAAAATGTTCTGGAAGACATTGTGCTTGATAAGATGTGTAGGTTTACTAAGGCCAACCTGTGACAATATTGTTGCAAAAAGCCCCCACAGATTTAAACATCTCTCCTCAAAGCATGAACTGGTCTCTGACTCAAATAACTTGAGGTTATTTGAATCTCGGGTGGTGGGCTGCTGGGGGAAGTCCTGAAACTCTTTTCCTATTCTGCAAAGAAATGTTTCTATGACAAAGTTTCTAAGGATTCCCTTATTCAGGAAAATTGTACCAGTAAAAGTTCTCTTTAAATGTCTTAAAGTAATGTAAATATCTCATTTTGCCTTATTTCAAAGAAAGGTTATTCCCTTGTCTGCTTGCTGTTTCCTTTGTGTGCTTTTGATGGCAACTTCCTCTGTGTACCATTTTCCTTTCCCACTTTTCCAGAAGTGCTGTCATGAAATGATGCATTTTCTGCTCTGGGTAATGTTTTGACCTGGCTGAAGGGAGTAACCTGCTTAAGCACAGCTAACACTGTCTATATTCTAAGAGCTTGTAGATCAACAACCATTCCTACAGAGAAGTTGTAAATAAAAGGGCTTCAAAATTTATAAAACAAGACTGAGAAGAAAAAGCAAAGCAAATCAAAAAATCAAGTATACTCTTCCTCCTAGTAACCTTCAATCTCATGCTTCCTCTCAATTTAGTCAGGTATAACCTCCAAACTCCAGCCTCTTGGAGTCTCTTTAATTCTGTAAATGGCTAAATGGCTTGTCAGGATTGAGTAACTGTACTCTAAAACCAGTCTCTTTCTTAGTCTAGGGGATATGGTGTGGGCTATCAAACATACACTCCAAGATATGAATGATTTGTTTCAGATTTCTCTAATTACTAAGGAGTGGAGGCACATGTGAAAAGAGGCTGGGGCTCCTTGGAATGTTCTATGTGAAATTTATGCAGAGGGAGCAGGAATATATCAGTACGGCAAACACCTGAGTACATGGAAACTCTCATGTCTCTCTGTATAGTAAGGCTCCTGTGGAAGGGTGAGTGGTGAGAGACAGAGAGTGAGGGAAAGATGCGGAAAGAGAAAAAAAAGTGAGATAAATGGAGCGGGAGAAAGAGAGTTGGGGGAGCAGAAACCTTTGAAACAGAAAGTTTTCTTTATGGGTTATACTGACAATTTAAAATGTTATAATCAGGAATTAATTTAACAGGGTCTCAGGACAATTTTTTTTTTGTATAAGCAGTTATCTGATTAAGAATAAGAAAATAAGCATATGGATGTTATGTCATAGGGAAGAACCCTACATAGGCAGTTGTCTTCAGTAAAGGAAAGGATCAAAATTATACTTTCCATTTGGCTGACATTGATTATTCAGTATAATTGTGCTTTCCTTTAGCTTTATATTTGTTCTGACAAATTGCTGAGTACCTTTAATATGCTATATAGTGTGCTAGGGATTAAACAATGGAGGAAGAAGGTCTAGGTTCTGTCTTCAAAGAGATTGCTGTGGTGGGTAAACGAAGGAAAACAGTCACAACGTGGCATGTGGTACATGCGGCATTAGAAGTGAGCACAGGGGCTTGGGGTAACTGAGAGGCTTCCCAGTTTAAAACGGGGAGGGCAGAGAGGCATGAAAAAGGCTCAGGTGTTACTGGAATTGGAAGTAAGGCAGTATGACAGAAGTGGACAGTATATATTGGGCTGTCAGCAGAGATGAGGCCAGAGGGATATGCAGGGATGAGTTCAAGAAAAGCCTCGAATGTCAGGCTAAGGAGTTGGGATTTTCTTCTATAGGCCAGTGTTGTCAACCTGTGGGTGCAGATCCTTTGGTGGGAGAGCAAATTAATGAAAGCATACATGTATGTTATTATCAGATCATGCAAAACAGAATCTATTCAAGAATGTAAAAAAGGAGTAATTTAATTCAGATAGTTGATTAAACAAGTGATGGAAGCCAAACAATGGATGTTGAGACTACCTAGGGATTACCAAGAGCAGGAAGTCATTACTGCCTCCAGCTGGATGGATATGAGGAAGAGGTAGTGTGACCAAGGCCCCCGGAACAGGGACACCCTCTGGAATCAGAATCACAATAGGTCTGTCCTATGAAAACCAGAGCTACAGAACTGCTGTAGAGGCACTGCCAAGAGCAGAGAGGGAGGAAGAAGAATATAGTGGCTTCTCCCTTCCTGCTGCCTGCCAGTGCCTCCCACCGACCAAACCCAGCCAGAATCCCAAGGACTTGGAGCTTGAAAATGTATTCTGTGAGAGTCAGCCCTCCTGTGGTACAGAGCAGAACAGAACAGAGGAACAGTGAGGGAAGGAGCTGGGGGGCACATAGGCCCAGCCAAGCATTATCTGTGGGCTGAATAAATATATGACTTTCCTACCAATGGTGTTAGATGCTATTAATTACAAACACATTCATTGAAAGGTTCATAAAAACAAATTCATAAAAGAAGCTCTGAATGAACAGTGGCAGCCTTTTGTGATTATGAGCATATTTGAAAGGTACTACCACCATGGTGTTGGGCTCTGAATGCTTTAACAGACTGAAAAAATGAAACTTATATTAAAAAAATACATCGTAATTGTTTCAAACAATCTGGAGACATTGAGGAAAACAATATGATCACATTTGAATTTCAGAAAAAAAAATTTTAATATCAGAGTAGGCATTGTCCAGTAAAATGTGAGAGCCTTAGAGTAGAGGTACTATCCTCTTGTCTTCACCCGGCAAAAACCCTAGTTCAAGACATAGGTTTTTAAATGCATGATGCATGCAGGTTTGAAGAAGTAAAGGCGCCAGGATGGTAAAGCCACCCCTGGCATTGAGTAGACACTCGATTATTTCTGTTAGGTGAATGAATTAATTAATAAATAAAAGCAAAAGAGGATGGGAGGTAAGTTAGAAGATGATTAGAGTAATCATGATAAGAGATTAAGAAGAATAAAACCAATGTTGTAGAAACGATGAGAAAATAGGTGGAAGAGATATGTAACATACTAGTCTGCGGGTTCTCTTAAATGTAGAGGCTAACAGAGATTTTGAGAAAGCATGAAATGTTATATGTTAGTTCAGAAGTTTATTTAAGATCATTCAAAAAAGCAACTGTTCCAACCCAAGTTTCCTTAGAGCATTGAGTGGATAAAGAAAACGTGGTATGTAATACACCATGGAATACTACTCAGCTGTAAAAAAGAATGATATGATGTCTTTTGCAACAAATTGAATGGAGCTGGAGACCATTATTCTAAGTGAAGTAACTAGGATGGAAAATCAAATACAATAGGTTCTCATTTGTAAGTAGGAGCTAAGCTGTGGGTACACAAAAGCATACAGAGTGGTATAATGGACTTTGGAGACTCATAAAGGAGAGGGTGGGAATGGGAGTGAGGGATAAAAAAACTACATATTGGGTACAAGGTACACTACTTGGGTGACAGATGCACTAAAATCTGATTTTACTACCATACAATCCATCTGTGCAACCAAAAAACATTTGTACCCCAAAAGCTATTGAAATTAAATTTTAAAAAAGTAACTCTTCTATATATTTTAATACTATTTTTAATACTAAATCCTGCACCAAAAACAGAATCTGCTTGGTTTATCTGAGATAATTCATAGTCCCAAGGTTCAGGCACCAGACAAATAGTTTTAATATGTTCCCCTTTCTTATACAATTTGTTGCTGTATATTTATAAATTTGAAACAGTCAAGATAATGAAGGAAACTTTACTTTTTTATCTACCTGAAAATTAATTCAATGAATTCATAGTGGTTATACAATTCATAAAGTTTATAATATTCATTCCACTTAAAATGAAATTAATCCATTTGATAGCATTCACTTTGAAATTATGTCTATACTATCGGTATTATACTTTACCGTCATAGCATATATTTCAGAAACCTGATTTAATTGATCCATATTTGACAATAGACTTATTAAAGGGTCTATTTCATTAAAATGTTTTGCTATGCACAATTTTAGAGAGTAGAGGATATTTTGATCCCTAACCAAAATTAAACCAGTCCATTTGTGAAATTTCTTTGCTTCACCTTTGTGTTTTCCTCGTTCCATTGGTTTTTGTTGTTGTTGTTTTGTTTTATTTTGTTTTTTCTTTTTAGGTTGTAGACTCTTGTGCTGGTTGCAGGCCAAGTGGACCTGTACTGAAAATGGGTCCAATAGGTGCAGAGGCTGATGAGAACCAGACAGTGGAAGAAATGAAGGTGGAACAATACGGGCCACAAACAACTCCTAGAGGTGAACTGGTCCCTGACCCTGAGCCAGAGCTTATAGATAGTACCAAGCTGATTGAGGTACAAGTTGTTCTCATATTGGCCTACTGCTCCATCATCTTGCTTGGGGTAATTGGCAACTCCTTGGTGATCCATGTGGTGATCAAATTCAAGAGCATGCGCACAGTAACCAACTTTTTCATTGCCAATCTGGCTGTGGCAGATCTTTTGGTGAACACTCTGTGTCTACCGTTCACTCTTACCTATACCTTAATGGGGGAGTGGAAAATGGGTCCTGTCCTGTGCCACCTGGTGCCCTATGCCCAGGGCCTGGCAGTACAAGTATCCACAATCACCTTGACAGTAATTGCCCTGGACCGGCACAGGTGCATCGTCTACCACCTAGAGAGCAAGATCTCCAAGCGAATCAGCTTCCTGATTATTGGCTTGGCCTGGGGCATCAGTGCCCTGCTGGCAAGTCCCCTGGCCATCTTCCGGGAGTATTCGCTGATTGAGATCATCCCGGACTTTGAGATTGTGGCCTGTACTGAAAAGTGGCCTGGCGAGGAGAAGAGCATCTATGGCACTGTCTATAGTCTTTCTTCCTTGTTGATCTTGTATGTTTTGCCTCTGGGCATTATATCATTTTCCTACACTCGCATTTGGAGTAAATTGAAGAACCATGTCAGTCCTGGAGCTGCAAATGACCACTACCATCAGCGAAGGCAAAAAACCACCAAAATGCTGGTGTGTGTGGTGGTGGTGTTTGCGGTCAGCTGGCTGCCTCTCCATGCCTTCCAGCTTGCCGTTGACATTGACAGCCAGGTCCTGGACCTGAAGGAGTACAAACTCATCTTCACAGTGTTCCACATCATCGCCATGTGCTCCACTTTTGCCAATCCCCTTCTCTATGGCTGGATGAACAGCAACTACAGAAAGGCTTTCCTCTCGGCCTTCCGCTGTGAGCAGCGGTTGGATGCCATTCACTCTGAGGTGTCCGTGACATTCAAGGCTAAAAAGAACCTGGAGGTCAGAAAGAACAGTGGCCCCAATGACTCTTTCACAGAGGCTACCAATGTCTAAGGAAGCTGTGGTGTGAAAATGTATGGATGAATTCTGACCAGAGCTATGAATCTGGTTGATGGCGGCTCACAAGTGAAAACTGATTTCCCATTTTAAAGAAGAAGTGGATCTAAATGGAAGCATCTGCTGTTTAATTCCTGGAAAACTGGCTGGGCAGAGCCTGTGTGAAAATACTGGAATTCAAAGATAAGGCAACAAAATGGTTTACTTAACAGTTGGTTGGGTAGTAGGTTGCATTATGAGTAAAAGCAGAGAGAAGTACTTTTGATTATTTTCCTGGAGTGAAGAAAACTTGAACAAGAAATTGGTATTATCAAAGCATTGCTGAGAGACGGTGGGAAAATAAGTTGACTTTCAAATCACGTTAGGACCTGGATTGAGGAGGTGTGCAGTTCGCTGCTCCCTGCTTGGCTTATGAAAACACCACTGAACAGAAATTTCTCCAGGGAGCCACAGGCTCTCCTTCATCGCATTTTGATTTTTTTGTTCATTCTCTAGACAAAATCCATCAGGGAATGCTGCAGGAAACGATTGCCAACTATACGAATGGCTTCGAGGAGATAAACTGAAATTTGCTATATAATTAATATTTTGGCAGATGATAGGGGAACTCCTCAACACTCAGTGGGCCAATTGTTCTTAAAACCAATTGCACGTTTGGTGAAAGTTTCTTCAACTCTGAATCAAAAGCTGAAATTCTCAGAATTACAGGAAATGCAAACCATCATTTAATTTCTAATTTCAAGTTACATCCGCTTTATGGAGATACTATTTAGATAACAAGAATACAACTTGATACTTTTATTGTTATACCTTTTTGAACATGTATGATTTCTGTTGTTATTCCTATTGGAGCTAAGTTTGTCTACACTAAAATTTAAATCAGACTAGAGAATAATTTTTGTGGCATGTTGTAACATTTCACAGTATTTACAAGCTATTTTTGCACAGGTACATAGCTCTCATGTATTTAAAGAACACTGCAGTGTTATTTTCTTTGAAATTCATCCTCCACGGACCCATTCATACTAAATAAAACAATGTAATTACATTAAAATGGACCTATCTGTAAGAGGTACTAAAAACACTGGATTCATTTCATCTTGCAAATGTTGTATTTCAAACCAGTTTCACATAAGTTATTTGTCTTCTTTTCAAAATAATTAGCTATATTTTTATATAATATGAATATATACATAAAAATTGTTTCTATAAATTGTAGAACATAGATGCTACAGTATTTTTTATTTAATTATATTATGAATAAAATTGTTATTTCAATAGTACCCAACCAAAGATGCTTAAAAACCTTCTATGTTCATAAAAAATAACAACTGAGATGTTAAAATAGTCATACGTCTTTAGATGCTATTAAAGTTTCATTAGTCATATTTTTGTAAATATGACAGAATTTGTGAATATATTTTTAAAGCAAAAAACTTCAACATGCATATGATATATAGTTACAACATTAATTTTATGAACTGGAGAGCTTTACTTTGTGGATATATTTAAAATTCATATTATAGCTCCTATTAAATTCCTTCCATGATAGATATAAAGGACTGGTTTTTAAGTGCACTGCACTTCTGGAATACTGAAAAAGAATGAAAACAATATGTTAGATTAGGTGTAAGACTTTAAGAAGCGAACAAAAAGTAATGTATATCTGTAATATATAATCAAATGATTCATTTTTCTGTTAGACTAGGCAAATTGTTCAAAAATAACCTTTTTGTCTTTTAAGTAGCAGTCACTTTGCTTAAGATGCTAATAGAAAACTGTGGTTAAAGATTTACCCTCCCTCTTGGTGAATTATTACACTGTAAGAAATGTATATGCTACTGTGTTACATGTTGTATTAGTAAATTATTAGAATCCAATTAATGATTCAATTAACATATATCTTATCCAATTCATTATGTCAATTCATTAATAAAATACCTTTTATGTAGAGGCTTTATGTTGCAATTAAAAAGTTGGGAAAATGAGAGAAATTGTGTGGAATTTTATATCAGAGTGCTTGTCTAAGACAAGGCAGTAAGACTAATGCAACTAAAAAAGAAAAATAAGGGCTGCTGTTCCACAGTTAGTCCAGCTCTCTTTCCATTCTGTACCTGAACCTGAGTCAATGGATCCACTCTTACGACTGCAATTACAATACATAATATGAGGATACGTGGATCTTCATTTTTCAGACAAGACCTTTCTTCTTAACTTCAATTCTGTATCTCTACCGGCCAATAGACCATGTCCACATGGGTGTCTCACCAGCAAATCAAATCTCAAACAGAACCTGCCATTTCAATGCACACCTCATCCCATCTCCCCTCCACGTTGTCTTCCCGTATTCTCTGTCTCAATCATGACACTACTATGTACCTATTTCCCAAAAGCCTTACATTTTGGAATCACCCTTTACAAGTCTCTTTATCGCATGTATCTAATTAATTCCCACATCTTGTTTTAATTCCTACGTGTTTCTTTAATCGACTTACTTTTTTCCATTCCCTTGGTCCAGGCTATGATTGTCTCCCCAGACTGCTATTATGTCTCATCTGGATTAATATAGGTACTTCCTAATTGGTCTCTATATCTTGCTTTCTTCCCATCTAATCTGACTCTAACTCATTAGCCATAGTGATTTTTCAAAAACTCAGATTTTATCAAATCACTCTTCTGATGAAAACACTTTAACGTCTCCTTATATGATAAACTCTGCATCTTTTTATGACATGGAAGGTTGTTTAGAACCTGACTGTGCCTGTGTTTTTTATCTCATATAGATTCTTTTTTTCCACTAATATTTGCTGCTAGATTTTAAGCATCATGAGGGCCAGGACAGGGACTGTCTTAACCATTGTGGTTATCACAGATACTTGCAATTCTTGACATCAAGTTAGTAGTCAATAAATATCCTTCAAGGAAATTGAGTTTATGAAGTGAAGTGTATTTACTAAAGCCAAGACTTGAAGATAGATTTGCAAGGTTGTAAACCATAAATGTTTCCCATTTTAGCATATGTCTTCTAGGAAAAGAAGGTTTTAGCTACACAAGAGTCCAGTAAAGATATATTTGTTCAGAATCAGGTTGGTTTTCTTTCGTTTTTTGGAGGCCATTAAACATAGACACACGCGTAAGTATAAAGGGCTCTATACATAGATTTCATTCATGGCTCACTCAAAATTAGCTAGAACTTTATGACCAGGGAAGAATGGAGGAGGCAGTCATGATTCAGATAGCTAGAAAAGCCATTGCAGGTATTTCTAGCAGAAAGTTATTTAATTCAAGAAATTAAAGTCTTATAAAACCACTGGAAGAGCTAGGGAAGTTAAAGTTAGGAAAAGTATCCACTAGTATTGAAGAAACCAGGAAGTGCAAAATTGCAAGAAACTACTATTAATGTGAACAGTACGAAAGTGGATGATGTACAGGAAAAGTACAGATTTATCTATAAAATCTTATTGTCGCTCGCTAAGCCCACACTCCTGCCCATCTCTACTGTAGATCCATTAATGCCTTTTGCTTCTCTTCTGGTTTCCAAAATTTATACAACTCTAGCCTTACTGGCATGGATCTAGGGAAATGTTCTTAGGTTTCAAATCCCTAAGATACAGGGGAAAGCATGGAGGGGAGGATATGGCACTCAGTTGCTATCAGAGAGTCTGGCAATCTTAGGGTGTAATTTCTAGTTTCAACCTCATCTTCTCCTTAGTACCTGCGTAGGTTCTCCAAAGTTACAGTGATGCAAATTGACTACATCTTTTCCTTTTCTTTTAACAAGGCTCAGGTGTCAAAAATACTCTTTAAAACTGCCCCATTTGTACAGGTAGACTGAGGAGTAAAGTATAAATAAAGGCCATTTTTCCTACAATGGGCTGATTGGAATGGAGGAAGAAAGGATAAATCCGATATAATTATACCAATACTGGAACAATGATCTGAAAACTACAGAAGAATCTAAATTCTGGATTAGCTTCCTAGGATGAGCAAAAGGAAATAATAATGTCTCAGGGAGAGAAGAGTCTTCAAAATTTTCAAATTGATAAGAGATGAAATATTAATATATATGGCAGCAAAAGACAAAAATGTTATTTTTTCTTAAGAAAACAAAAAAATTAAAGAAACAACACAAAGATAGTAGAGAACGCAAACAACTCAATGATTTTATCCCATGATATTAAACTCAGGTAAGAATTTTGTTAAGGAGTTTCTAAGGACTGATTTGAGGATTTACAAAGATAACTGTCTGTTAGACCATTGACCTTTTTCTGCCTTAGTACACTTGAAAGACGTCCACAGACTCCACAAGTTCTCATAGATATGGAAGAGGTTATAAAAAGAATAGTCTGCAGGTTATAACAATTCGCATTCATGTTATCTGTAACTCCAGCTCTTCCTTGCTAACTTGAGATTGTGTAATTGAATGCAAGTAAGTGAAAATGGCTAACCCTGAACCTACTCTCCTTTATAAACAAATAATTGCCAATTTTTCAACACTTTAACAAATTACTTGCAAAACACCACGTGGCTGATCATGACAAAGGATTATGTTATAACAGTAAAATTAAAAAGCACTATAACTTCACAATAAATGAAGGAAAACAATAACAAGTCAATAATTATTTTTAAATTAATTTTGCCCTTGTCATAGAAAATTAACAAACTATAAAAAAATAAGTACATATATGTATATACACACATATATTTAATGACAAATATATCTTCTTGACGTACAGTATTATCTAATATCACATATTATCTGTGTATAGAACATCTAACTATCTAAAAGTGGTGACTAGCCTTTTTCCAAATGACCTATTTATTTCCACCATTGTCCCTACAGGAGTAACTACCACTGGGCTGTGGGTGGAGTGGGGTGAAGAGGAAAGGAGAATGCACTCTGGAATGTAAACAAAATAATTTGAATATATGCAGTTTGAAAAAGCTCCTTGGTGAGTGTGGCCTACTTCCCCCAACCAGTTGATAATCAAAAATGACAGACGTCAAACTGGTGCTTATCATTTTGAACACTGACACGTTTTTAAATGATTAGTATCCATTAGGATACACAAGCTACGATCTGCCTCCAAAGACTTGTGAATTGTTGGAGGGCACCTATTGTGCAATCATTCCTGTTCTCTGGTATAAGCAAATCAGAACTTGTTTCCAGAATGCAACTGAGAAGGGAGAAACAAAAGACTTCGAGGGACATACATAGTGTTAGCACTACTGCATGCATTGTGTATAAGTTGAAGCCAAATACCATCAGTCAAAACGCATCTACAATAATCTCTTGATCCCATCAGACCATATTGAGGGATGTAACAACAGGATCTAGGGCAACATAGATAATGTAATTTTATGTTCACTGAAGCAATAATATAGGTTTGACACTGAAGGATTGTTTCTGCCTTTTTATTCCAGGAAAAATAATTTACTGAAAATAAGAACTTCCTACTTACTTACAAAGATAATTCCATCTAAACAATTGCCTCAATAGTTTTCCCACAAATATGGTGTACTCAGTAACTTATGACCTCAAAAGCTCCACAGGAGTTATACAAATCTGGTTTGTCTCCAAGATACGGATTTTATATTTACTTTCTGATATTTAGCTTAAAAGTCTAAAATTAGATGGAGGCATTCCTTACCTACAAGGACCCTCATGAGAATTGCTTATAATTGTCATTATATCCCAAGACAGCACAAAACAGTTTATTATAGTCATGAGTATTAGAATGTTTTTTAAAGCACAGGCCCCCCAAAAGATAATTTCTTAGTGGATATAACTAGGAAATATGAATGACATTTTGGAACTGTCAATATTGTGATGTGGTGCTAATCTTATTCAAAACATGGTTGAACATGGTTTAGCGATTTTGCTACTAGTGATAATCACTTGTCCTGATATAGTCACCATCTGCTGTGGTTTGTATATTTCCTCCAAAATTCAGGTGATGAAAGTTAATGGCCAATGTGATGGTATTAAGAGGTAGGGCTTTTAAGACGTGACTAAATTATGAGGGCTCCTTCCATCGTGAATGATATTAAATCCCTTATAAAAGGGGCTTCATGCAAATTTGGCTGTTTTGCCTTTCCACCTTTCACCATATAAAAACACAGTGATATCCCCTCCGGAGGTTGCAGCAATAAGGCGCCATCTTGGAAGCAGAGAATAGTCTTCAACAGACCACCAAACCTGCCCCATCCTGATCTTGGACTTCCTAATCTCCAGAATGGTAAGAAATGAATTTTACAAGTTATCCAGTCTCAGGTATTTTGTTATAACAGTACAGACTGTTACTGAATACATTTTATCCACCAACACATTCTTAAAGATAGTTGCATGATGGTGCAACAGAGTTATGTCATCCTCGCAGAAAATTCATGGCTTTAAACAAATTAACATCATCATGCACAGAAAGCAAGTGGGTGAATCTGCTTTAGGCAAGGCTTAAAGCTGAAGCTAGAGAATCCAGAGCAACAGCCAAGTCTAAGGTAACAGACTCTTAAAGGGGACATGGAACTAAGTATCCGCACCTGGGCAGGAACAGGCTCAAATCAGGAACAGATGAGGGGAGAGGGAAAAGGCTGCACCAGTGTGGATATGCAATGCTGAGTGAAGGGTCCTGGGCCAAGGTGGGAAAAATCTTTGATATGCCTCTTCTTCTGTGAACTGAGTAAGCTTATGACACCAACACTATTTTTGTTAAAATCACCTAAAAGCTCTCATAATGCTCCAGAATAACATTTTAATTATTTTTAAAATATAACTTATTAGAGTTCCTTCTTTCAACGGTTATATCATACATTTGTTGAGGCTTAAATAGTAAATTACTGTGTTAATTGGCTCCTGATTTTCACCCAGCTGGGGATGAGGGTATGCTGTAGAAAAGTATGAGGAGTGTGCTGTAGCAAGAGTGTTTATCTTCTGTGGGAAGAGGAAGACATCGAGGGGAAGGTAAGAATGGAAAGGTAAAGGGCAGAAAACAGTCTAAAGAAATGGGTCAGAACATTTCCAGTACTTTTCCATTTGCCTAGATTCAGTAAGTCAAATGGGTATCTACTCACTGGAAGATGATTATTTTGGTCCTCATAATTCACAGAGTGTTGGTGGAGTGCCTAGAAGGGTTCTTGCCTCAGTAATGAGAAATAATTAGACCCAGACAAAATGCTTATCTAATTCTTCTCAACAAATCTTAAAGGCAGCACTGGAAGGAATCAAACTGTTTCTAAGAAATTTAAATGTATTACAAAATATAGCTCAAAACATTTATCAGTAGGCAAAATATATATAGGATGACACAGGAAAACATTTACAAATTCTGTCATCTAATCAAAGATTATCAGGCATAAAAAAGCAAGAAAATAAGACCCACAGTGAAAAGAGAAATAAATCAATCTAAATTGATCCAGAACTGATACATGTGTTCAAATCAGCAAAGAGCTGATTTATGTTATGTGTTAAGCAAAGAGCTTAACACATAAAACTATTCTGTACTTTAAAAAATTTAAGTAGATGTATGGAAATTATAAAAAGTTATCGAGACCAAATATCTGGAGATGAAAATTACAATATCTGTGATAAAAACTATATTGGAGGGGATTCACAGCAGACTAGAAATTTCAGAAGATTAGTAAACTTGAAGACACAGCAATAGAAATTATGCAAAAGGAAACACACAGAGAATTTTAAAAATGTAAAGAGATTCAGTGATTTGTGGGACAACTTCAAATGGCTTTACATATATGTAATTGGAGTCACCAAAGGCATTGTGGTGAGGAAGAAACAATATTTTAAAAACCAAGTTCACTTACTCCTAATGCCATCAGCAATTATGTTGAATGTAAATGTAGAGGCAGAAACTAGTAGCACTTACCTATGTAATACCAGCGACTCCGGAGGCAGGAGGATCACTTAAGTATAGGAATGTGAGAGCAGCCTGGGCAACATAGTGAGACCCCCATCTCTAAAAACATTACAAAATAAAATTAGCCTGGCATGGTGGCATGCACCTGTAGTCCCAGCTTCTTGGGAGGCTGAGGCAGGAGGATTGCTCGAGCCCAGAAGTTTGAGGCTGCAGTGAGCTATGAGCCTGTCACTGCACTCCAGCCTGGGTGACAGAATGATATGCTGTTTCTGAAAACATTTTTAAAATGTAAATAGTCTAAATGCCTTAATTTAGGAGGCAGAAATTGTCGTATCTGATATAGGTTGTTGCAAAAGTATTATGGTTTCTGTCATTACTTTTTTTTTTTTTTTCCGAGATGGAGCCTCCCTCTGTCATCCAGGCTGGAGTGTAGTGGCGCAATCTCAGCTCACTGTGACCTCCACCTCCTGGGTTCAAGCGATTCTCCTGACTCAGCCTCCCGAGTGCTGGGAGTACGGCACGTGCCACCACGCCTGGCTAATTTTTGTATTTTTAGTAGAGACAGCGTTTTACCATGTTGGCCAGGCTGCTCTCGAACTCCTTACCTCAGGTGAGGAGGTAAGCCTCGCAAAGTGCTGGGATTACAAGCGTGAGCCACCGCGCCCAGCCTCTGCCATTACTTTTAAAGGCAGAAACCGCAATTACTTTTGCATCAACCTAAATAAAAGACTCAACTATATATCAATAAATTATTTTAAATACATAAATAATTCTACAAAATATGAAAGTTATGATTAGAATCCAGAATGCACATGTTAATAACTTTGTTAATATAGAAATAATACCATGACACCAAAACTACCAGAGTTTGTGAAGGCAAATTGGGAAAAACTGAAATTGCACATTTTTTAAAAGTAATAATAGCTAAATTGACAATGTCGAAAGCAGCTAAACCAACTTATACATTTTAACTATAAAGATTAAATATATATATATGAGAATGGAACAAACAAGATCAAATTTTAGCATGTATGAAAATCTCTGATACATGTTAAAATGCTTATTCTTAGATCCTATTCTATTCTTACAGATTCTGAATTGAAATTCTCATCTGGGCCCAAGAAACTGCCTGGTAAATAATTACCCTTGGTAATTCCATGTAGATGGTGTCTATGTATCACATAAAGAAATATTCTGGTTTAATAATCAAACCAGCCAAAATGTGATGGTGAGAAAAGATGGAAGGTAAGAGTAAAATTAAGTTCTTTAAAACTACAGATGTATATTCCTCAGAAGCATTATATTAAAAAGAAAATACACCATGACCCAGTGGGATTATTTTGACTTAACATTAGAAAATCTATAAATGTAACTTATTATATTAACAAACTTAATAAAGAAAAAGCATATAGTTATCTCAATAAACATCTGAAAAACATTTATATCAATTTCTGATAAAAATTGATATTACAAAGTCTACAATTTTGATTTTTCCATTTTAATTATTTTTACCCGCTTTATATTTCATAGATTGAGAGACAAGTTAAAATTTTCTGGTGACTATTTTATGATTTATTTTTACCTGTATTCCTTAAATTTCTCATAGAGTTTATTCAAAATTAATTTTGATGTTACCTTACTTGGTGCAAAAGAAAATTCATGACAATTGAATCTTTATTTTTGCCTTGAATTTGACTTTATTTGGTAATAATATTACAAACCTGTTTTCGTTTAATTTTCATTTCTATGTTACATCTATCAATTTTTTTCACTTCAGTATCTGTGTTTTGCTTTATGAGGCATATTTCTTTTGTACAACACATTATCGGGCTTTGATTTTAATCTAAGTCTACATTTTTTAATTGACTCATCTCTTTTATATTGATTGATCTGGTATGAATGTATACTCCTTAATTCTGATATTTTTTTCTATATTGAATATGGACTTTGTTTTTTACTTTAGATATCTAGTCTATGCTTCCCTTGGTTTGGTGGTTGGGGTTACAGTGATGGTTTTAACGGTGATAATGTATGTGTTGTATTTTTGATAGTTTCTGAGACTTACATATAGTTTTTACATCTCCAAATGGTTTTAATATTATTATTTCTTGATTTAGTAATTTTAGAGAATATCTGTTGATATGTTCCCCACCATGAATGATTAAGCAAATAAAATTTAAATAATGTAATATAACTACACACTACCAAATAGCTAAAAGTAAAATGAAAAAAAAACCAATGTTGATGAAGATTTGAAGCAACTAGAACTCTCAAGCACTGCATGAGTAGGAGTATAAATTGGTAAAGTCTCTTCAGAAAGCTCTTTGGAAATGTAGACAATAGATAAATAATTCAGCCTTATTACCAAGGAGTTCCATTTCTAGATGTAGAGCCAACAGAAATGCAAGCATATGTTTGCCAAAACACATGCACTGGAATATTCTTTGCTGCACTATTCATAAGAGCTAAAAATTGGAATACGACTTTAGTGTACATTGACAATACATTGGATAAACAAAGTATCAAATTCTATATTCACAGAGTTAAGTACTATAGAGCAATTAAAAGAAACTATTTTTGCATGCATGCAACAATAGTAATGAATCTTACAAATATTTTGAGGAACATAAGGCAAACACAAAGGATTTCATACTTTATTTAATTACTTTTATACAAATTTAACAAGTGGTCAAAGGCAGGCTATGTTATTAGAAATCATGATAATGGCCACCTGTGCTAGGAGGATCTACAAGGAAGGCTTCTGTAATGCTTTTAACATTCTGTTTAGGTGTGTTCATATTGTTAAAGTTTATTAAGCTGTATATGTATGATTTGTATACTTTTCTGCATAATAATTCTGCAATAAAACATTTAAAAACTAGTAGCATTCGGCCAGGTGTGGTGGCTCAAGCCTGTAATCCCAGCACTTTGGGAGGCCGAGGCGGGCGGATCATGAGGTCAGGAGTTTGAGACCAGCCTGACCAACATGGTGAAACCCCGTCTCTACTAAAAATACAAAAATTAGCTGGGTGTGGTGGCGTGCACCTGTAATCCCAGCTACTTAGGAGGTTGAGGCAGGAGAATCACTTGAACCCGGGAGGTGGAGGTTGCAGTGAGCCAAGATTGTGCCACTGCAGTCCAGCCTGGGTGACAGAGCGAGATTCTGTCTGAAAAAAAAAAACAACAAAAAAAAACCTGGTAGCATTCAGTGCTGGTGAGATTAGGAAAGCTAGGCATATGTTATGCTGCATATGTATGCTGATGGAAATGCCAATTAATATAATAATTTTGGAAAGCAACCATACAATTGCTATTAAAATTTAACATGAATGAATAATTGGAGCCAGCAGTCCACTTTTGGGAAATCTGATTAGTGGAAGAAAAGCAGCAAGAGAGAAGGATACATTAAAGAAAATTGTGAAGAATTTTAATAACTATTATTATGAAAGTATTTAAAATAATTATAGTACAGTCAGTCAGACTGTGATATATTATGCAACTATTAAGTAGAATATGTTTTATACATAACTGATGAACTAGAAGAATTTCTCTGAAGTGTTACTAATTGAGAAATACCTAAAAAATACATAAAACATATTCAAGTATTCATTTAGCTATATAACCAGATTATTAATGTTGTTTAGCTAATGGGAGTAGGGTGGGAAAGGAAAGTAGAGGGGAGAAAACAAAATAATCTATGCATGAAGATCTGTGTTTCTTTTTCTTTTTAAATAAAGGCAAAATCTTGAAAGTAATTCTTTGTTCACATAAAGATTGTAGGAAAACACTTGAACCTGGGAGGCGGAGGTTGCAGTGAGCCAAGATCATGCCATTGCACTCCAGCCTGGGCAACAAGAGTGAAACTCCGTCTCAAAAAAAAAAAAAAAAAAAGATTGTAGGAAAAAATACAGTTATCTGGTGTCACTAACAATATTAGTCATTTTGGTGTGTGTGTACAAGTGTATATATTTTGAACATAAAAGGATATTTGTTATTTAATTTTTAAGAAAAATTTAAATATTGGTTCCATCTACTTATAATTTTAGATAAGTATAAAAATGTATTTGAGTGATATACCTCAAAACAGTAAAAGTTGATATCTATAGTTGTGGGATGAGTGTTTTACTCATTTATCTCATGTATTTTCTAGACTTTTCTGAATTTACTCAAATTAAAAATTGTAAATGCAAACAGTAACAGAAAATAAAAAGAAAATAGAAAACAAATAAAAATAAATAATATAAAAATAACACGTTAAGAAATTGGAAACAAATGTACCCTAAGTTAACAGAATGATAGCTCTTCCAGAACGTGAAGCAAAGCCAGCATGGCCACATTCTTATTTGAGAGCAGAAGGAAGAAGCAATGTGAGTTTTATGTAAACAGTATCATCTGTCTTTTGCTTTTTCTCCCCTTCAGAAAGCTCATGTTCTACAAGAGTAGGCTTTTTGGAAAAAATAGCTTTGCTTGCTGTCTCATTACTTATGCCAAAATATATTTTCACTGAATCAATGTTTTATAAATCAGTAACAATGTAAAAGGAACAGGAGAAAATGTGAGTAATTAGATTAAAAATTTGGGAATAAGACTTTTTGATACAAGAAACAAAATTTTAAAAAGGAATTTCTCTATTAAAATAGAATGGTTTAATTGTTTTGCAAGAGAAAAGTACCATAGAAAAAATGAAAAGACAAATGATAAACTGGGAAAATATTCACAGCACATATGACGGACAAAATGTAAGCCAGTAACACTGGCTAACAACTTGTTGGAGATACAGAGAGAACTGTGCTAATATAAGTACAGACGTTTAAAAATAGTTCCTTGTTAAAGAAATTCATATTCAAACATAAGATTACGATTTTCACCCATTAGAGTAGCAAATTTCCAAAGTTTTATAGTACATACTTGGGTAAACAAAGATTTATACACTGTTTATTATGTTTGTAAATTGGTGTAAATTCTTTGAAATGAAATTTGGCAAGTTTATGTGTGTCAGATTTAAAATGCATAAATCTTTTGATCCATTGATTTAAACTGTAGACATTTTATTTGTAATGTAAACAAAAATGGTATCATTACAGCACTTTTTGGATAAAGGCAGAAAATTGGGAAGAGTCTAAACTTCATCAGATATATGCTTTACTAAATTATGGTAAACCTGTACATTGACATATTCTGCATCTTTCAAAAAAGAGTGTAGTGGCACTAAATATGTTGATTTGAAAAGATTATTAGATATTTAGTTACTTATTTGGTGGAAAAATAGGAAAAATAAGAGGTAAAACTGTTTATAGTATGATCTCATATTATCAAATATTTAAATATCAAGTATTATTTAAATATAATTTATATGTGTAAACATTTCCAAAAGAGTGAATAAAATACTGACTATAGACTCTTCTGGAGAATAATGTTGGGAATTTTGCATAGGAAACTAAGTTTCACTGTATAATCATTCTTAGGTGTTTATGTGCATGCATTGTATGTCAATTAATGATAGGTAAATAACAATACCAGAAATACGGGCATGGCAAGAGCACATGAAAAGTCACAGAAAAGAAGTGAGCAAGAAGATAATAAAGAAAAATTACATGTTTTGAGGGAAAAAATGTCAAGAACAGGGATGGCTAATATTTTATGTGATTTTAGTTCCTGAAATGTAACCATCCTCCCCTGAGCTCTCCCCTAAACCTTTAGGAAAATATGTGGCAAGCAAAAGCCTGTTAAGTTGTTTTATTGTAGTAGCAACCAAGGAACTGAGCTAAGTATAAAACAAATCATAAATACTTAATGAAATGAAAAACTAAAATCTGATGGCACTCAAAATTTGCATTCATTTCAGAAATGGCATTGAAATTTTCCAGAAGATGTGAACTAGGGCATCAAACTAATCATATCTAGATCTTAAGAAGCAGGACTCTCCAATGTGCACTTCAATTACACCTATATTAAAAAGTACATTACTAAATTAATGTCACTTCAATATCAAGGAATATAAAACAGATAAAATTAACTTAAGAGATGGAACTACAAATGGGCAATGAAATAAAGAAGAGCATTTTGGTATTGTAATGGATTGATTTGTCATGGCAACATTACTTTGAAAAGACATCAAAGGGTGTAAGTAGTGTGCCTTATCTCTTCCCTGAGATTATACTCTGCTTGCTGGGAGAAGATTGTGTACAGAGTTTATTTCTTCTTGGAACCAAAGGGTCTATGATAATATTTTATTAGCCTCAGAAGCCCAATGGCCTCTAGAGATGCACAGGGCCATTGGGATAGTGCAGAAACACAGGAGGATCACTGGAGTCAGTCTCTCAGTGCTCGTACATTTGTGTTGGATTATTGCTGCTATTCTGTGACCTCTGCTTCAGGAATGGGTGAAAAGTACTGGTAGGAGCTCTCATGAGACCCTGCTAAGCTTGGTCTCTTGGATAAATACACCAAGCTCAAAGAAGAGACTTAAGCTCTATACCCTTATTGCATTTGTCGTTAATATTCTTAATAACTACTGGGAAATTGAGATAAGTAAACTGAGCTTTTTTATGTGTACTCGGCCTTATGTGATTTGCCTTAACAGATATTTTATTTGGGGATACATAGAGGAAGCATGTTAAATGCATGCAAGTAATTTCTTAACAATTTTTGATGATTTAAATGATGATAATGGTTTTTTGTTGTTGTTGTTGTTGTTGTTTCTGGCAGAGAAGGAAATGCAATTCCTTATTAGAACTCTAAGTTTGTGTCTCCAAACATTTAACAGTAGGGAAAAACAAAAACACACCATTCTTCCTCCAGCTTGTGGGGCAGAAATAGGACCTGGAAGAATCGGGCTTTTGGGGGGATTCCAGTTTAACACCTGACTGCCCTCACTCCAGGCCCTGAGATGCCTTCATAATCTGTTTTGTTTTGTTTTTAAAATGATAGATGTCAGTCATTTATTTCTTCCAAGCTCTTTAGTGTTGCTTCTGTGACAAGTTTCTGCAGTACAGTAGATTTATTTTGTTTATCATCTGTCTCCCTCCACCCCTACTGCAATGTGAGTTCCAAGAGAGCAGGGATTGTTGACTTCTTTTTTTTTTTTTTTTTTTTTTAGAGATGGGGATCTCACTAAATTGCCTAGGCTGGTCTCAAACCCCTGGGCTCAAGTGATCCTCCTGCCTTGGCTTCCCAAAGTGCTGGGATTACAGGCATGAGCCACTGCACCCATATATGGAAAATGGTTATGGTAGACATTTGTCACTGCCATGTTTACTAGTATTTTTTTATACAGCTTAGTTATGTTTGAGTAACATTTCCCAATAGTATAGTAATAAATTAATATACAAATTTAAATTTCATGAAGTATCTCCTTTTTTCTTTAAAAAAATCAGTCAATACATATACATTATAAAAATGCTTACTCCATAATCTAGGTTATACCACAAATACTATGTCAAATAATTTTTAAAATTGTCACAAATTTTTGGCATGATTTTTTTGTATAACATGGTTATTAATAGATATGTTACTCCTGAAGAGTAATGACTTGACATAGGAAACCATATCTAACTTTTTTGACAACTTCCTTGTGAAATGAACATATAATGGTGTTCATTTCATACGGTGAAATGAATTGCACCAGAGTTAAGTAGAGGAATTTTCATAGCATCAACAATATTGTTTGAGATGCTAAATCTTTTCTTAGCTTATGTTAAAACAATAACAATTCTATTATTTTAAAAATTATAATTTGTTGTAATACTACAGAAATTTTTACATATTCTATAACTTTCTGATTAACTGTTTCATAAATAATTTATTGAAGTGACACTTTAGTTGGCATGATGATATTTAATTTCTATTTACTTTTATTCTTTAAAAAGTATTGCAAATATTTGGCTGAGTTTCAGGATTCAAAAGTTGAAAGAAATGATAAGTTCACGATATTTTTCATTTTTGCTCTCCAAAAGCAAAGAAATTTTTTATATAATATTTTCGGTGATCTATTTTTTCTGAGAATAAAAACTCTATTTTTGTCTTAGTTTCACACGGTATAGCCTAGTTTATTTTCCTGTTGGCCCCTACTACTCTCTCAAAGTGTCTGTTTTTTAGTTTTATATGAGTCATTTTTTTCTTGAAAAATAAGGAAGAGATTGACACACTAATGATAATATTGCACATTAAAGCTAAAGGTTTAAAAGAGTTTTCATTTTCAAAATGCTTACACTCATTTCTCAACTTTTATAAAATCAAATGGCTTGAAGTTTTCCAAAGTGTTTTTGCAACTTCAGTAGTAAAGCCACAACTTTGAGGACTATTTATTCTTCCAATTTTCATTATTCAAGTTCATATGGAATCTGATATATGCTTTAATTCTACACTGTTCATGTAATAGACAGTAATAAATATAAAGTTCACCAAGAAAATATTTAATTTATTTACTTTCTTAAGGCAACATCCAAAGATTTAGATTAGTACTAATGTAAAATACAGAACTATTATCTTAAAAATTGGGCTGAAAAAACAGACTTTCTTATTAAAATTACACTAGTACTATTTACATAGAATCAAAAAACAAATAGGATTTTTAAACTTATGTGTTTTCCTTATTGTTCTTTTTCCCTCAGGCATTGATAATAAATTTGATATACAATCTAACTCATATTTATTTTAGCACAATTGAGCTAGAATTTAAGTTTTTAATAAATTATTACAATTTATTTAGGGGAAACCGTTGAATATAAGTTGATAGTAATTGAAGTTTCACTGTCTTAATCACAATATTTTTTAAAATGTTGTTTTCTCATTTCAGTAGGTACATCACTTCTTGCAATAAGATAAACTCTAGGGTGCTGCAGTCCACCAATTTGGTACTTTAAAAATTCTGTTCAATGTATCATAATTTCTAAATATTTTAGATTATTTTCAGTAAATAAAAAAATTTTTTTTAAAGTTAATGGCTCTTTAAAATGATTTTAATCTGTTTTTTGACTAATTATTTTTACAAAAGTTATTGTTTTAATTACATAGATTCATGGTGTTTTAAAAATTTTTCTTGTTGATGATTAAAACTTTTTGGTATTTCAGTCTTAAGCTTTAACAGAATGGAATTACCATTTTGATAAAGTATTTATATGTTCAGCACTTTCAACTTGTAATAATAAAACACCTAAGCATCATTTCCTGTAGATCGCTAGTCACAGCACAAATACACTTTTGTTGAAATTGTCAAGGAGTTTTTCGTTCCAGAAATAGAAATCTTTTTGTTTTGTTTGCACTGATTATCACACAGATTCAAGAGATGCTCCAGGATGTAGTGATTTCTGCAGAACATTAGAAGACTTTACAAACTGTAGTACTTTATTAATACCATTGTTTTATGATATTTGATACTTTAAAAATTCTATTCAATGTATCATAATGTCTAAACATATCCAGACATTGTTTTCTCTTAATTATGGGTGTTCATTTTTAATATAGTGTTTATACATTTTAGAGTTTTTTATATACTGTGTATTTACTACTTACATGAGAATTACCCAGAATGGGTTGTATATTACTAATCAGATTCATTCAAAATTAACCTATTTAGGATAAGAAGCAACTACAGAATTGGCAAATAGTATTATATTTTGCCATGAAAAGTAATGGCAAAAAATTCAATTATTTTTGCACCAATCTAATAATAAACTTAGGACTGCCATAAATCATCCAGTGCTTTTTAAGGAATGTGTATTGCTGCTTTACCATCTGTTGTGACTCATGCTAATTTAGCAGAGATTGCTGAAAGGCTTCTCAGAAGCTCCCATATCAGGAGGCCCAATTATCAATTATTATTATAAAATCTTAAAGCAATTAGCTTGAAACAATTAGTGTATTGACATTAATCAATATTTATACTTATTTCCATTATTATTTATTGACAGCGGTGTAGGAGTTTTACTATTTCTTCTACTGTTGTAGCCACAGCTGATATCAGCTCCAGAAATTGCCAGATTATTTGTACATTCTCCCCAAAACAGAAGCAAGAAACTCACTTTCTGTCCTTCCTTGCAGTTTGACTATAGACACGTGCCTTAGAGTCTACCAATTACACACACTCATGCCAGACTGACTCCAAAGGAAACAATATGAAGAAAAAGATGGCTCAAGTAAATTATTTAGTAGTCCACAGGTCAAATTTTGAGTTTGGTTTTTAGCTCCTTTAACCCTGCAATGGCAATAGACAGGTGTTTCTTTTCCACAGTCAATAGGAAGATGGTACATGAAGGCTCAGAGACTGCCAAATAAAAGCCTTTGAATTCCAGAGGCAAAGTGAGTTTGGTTACTATGATAGGCAACAGACCTGAGCAATAATCAGAAGGTTTTGACCTGTAGATATTTCTGGTGGTGAGATGGATTTGTATAACTGAAATAGATGGGAGCCACCAATATTCTATATGACCTGTATAACCAAAAATATTCTAGGTATAGTAAAGCCATCAGAATATAAAGCATCTATTAATTACACCTTTTAAACATATGTACTCTAGTCTCAATTTCTAATAATCTACCAAAGGAAATCATATGCATATACAAATTATTTTGGCAAAGGGCATACTATGTCAATGTTGTGAGAAAGGTAGATGTGCTACATAAACACAGAAAAGACTGAAATTCTAGGTAGGGAGATTAAAGAAGTTTTTGTGAATAATTTCATTGTCTGTTCTTGGGTGAAATTTGCTGTCCTTCCAGTTACCTACATTTTTCACAATTCATAATGACTCCATTTTCTTCAAAATTATATGTTCCACCCTCATTTTTAAGCTGCTTCTTTGTCTAGTTTAGACATCATGGCCTATCATTTTAATCACTATCTAGCCAACGAGACTAAATTTTATTGTATCCTTGCTCATCTTTTTGGATCTTTTTGGATCCCTCTTCAACTTGTCTACTCCGACACTTGGGTTCTGGAAAGTCTCGTCTACATTAACTGACCCGTCATCTCTATGCAATAATTCATTTAAATGATATAACAATTCTGTCTCATTTTTCACACAGTTAGCTTCCTCCTTTCAGAGGCTGCTTCTTTCTCCACCTCTCACTAACAGAATTAAGAATAAGATGTCCTTCCACCCAGTTTTTTGAAAAAGTCATGATAAATAAATGCACCCAATGTCCTGTTCCCCCAGTTAAAAATATCTACATTCACTTTTTGTGGCTTATTTCCTTCATTAATTTATTAAATGGAGATAATACAGTTGCATAGAGTTGCTATGAAGATTGAATAATCTAAAATATGTGTCATGTGTCCTGCATGTAGTTAGCTAATTTAGATAATAGCTTTCTTTCCACTTTCCCAAATTTAGTTCAATTACCTGCGTTCTGGATTCCATTTTCTCTGAGCCATATTTGCCTCTTCTATACCTGTGAGCCATTTGTTTCCACCCTTTCTATTGACTTCACACACCAATATGAGTCAATTATGAGTCAATTCTCACTTGAAGCAACACCTCCTATGAAATACCATGCCTACATTTCCTTTCCTTCAAGGTTAATTTTTTTGAAAGTCTTATTTATGTTGAAGAATGGTAATATTCATAAAAAACTATTTTAGTTACCCATAATAGGGATTAACAAGAATTAAACTCAGATGGACAGAAAACTTTTTGAGTATCTTATCCAAACAGAAACAGGAAATGATTTCTTGGTATATGTTGTTCTAAGCAAATTGTTTAATAGTAATATAAAGTGATAATTCAGTTCCATTCCTCTGTCATAAATATGCAAAATTCAGGTAATAGAATTTTCAAAAGCCCAATACTGAAGTCATAAGCAATTACTATATTGTGCTTTTTTTGGCCAAAATAGAGGGCAATGGAATTGGGAATAAAGTATATTGTAACATTAAGGCAAAATTATTGTAAATTATGATGACATATACAGTCTGGGGTGTTTTTGTTTTTTTGTTCTTCTCATTGACTTCTTAGCTCTCTTTAACCTGGTGTCCTGTAAAACAACTCATTAAATGCAATGGGCTCTTTGGTATCTTTTTTATTCCTAAGTTCAGTGGCCTCTTAATTTCTTAACTTGCTGGTCCTTCTAGTGTTTGACCTTGCTGACCATGTTTTCCTTGAAAAAAATTCCTCCTTGGCTTCCCCACCAGGACACATTTGTGGTCTCTTTCTACTCATCTGGCAAATTCTTAGTCCTTCAATCCCCCCATTTTTCCTATCTACCTATTCATGGTTTATCATTCCATTCCCACCTCTTCACCAGATTTTAAGATATACTCTGTTTCCTTTAAGTCTTACCATAGAAATAACAGAATATTCTACTAAATGTATCAAAGTCTTGCATTAGTCAATACCTTTACCTTTTTCTCAGGAAACATACACATTTTAAAGCATCTTACATCCATCTAGCCTTTTCTTGACCTTGTCATGTTGTAGTGAATTTTAATTTTATCTTATTTATTTGAAAACCTATAAGATGCTGTTAGTATTGCTATACAGGGCCAACCCTCATTTTTATTTTCATCATTTTTACAATTCATTTTTGTTCATTCTCTCTTACATCTCAGATTTTTCATATAAAACCATTTTACTTCTGAAGTATATTCTTTGATTTGGTGATGTAACCTCTTTAAAATAAATCCAAAATGTTCTTATTTTCTCTTCATTATTGAAGGAATTTTTCTTAGTATATAATTATGACAATTATTTTATTTTAAATTACAATAAAGGCATTCTACTGCTTCCTGATTCTCAATATTGCAGTCCAGTCGACTGCCACTTAACTTCTCTGATAAACCATATTTTCCCCTCACTTCTGACTGCTTTTAGGAGCCTCTCTTTTATTGGTATTATTCTGCTTCTCTCTGATGTGGCCAGTTGAAGATTTATTTTTTTATTTGCTGTGCTTAGGATTTGATGGACCTCTGGCTGTTTCAAGAGTTTTGAAAGTCTTTCAATCTTGGTCTTTTCAAATATTAACCTTCCCCAGATTCTCTCTCTTCCCTTTTTCTGAGACATCAATTAGATACATTTTAGAACCTTTCACTTCTTTTTCTATGTCCCTTAACCTCTTACATGTTTGCAATCTTTTTTTCTGTGTAATACGTTTTGGATAATTTTTTCTATTATATCCTTTCAATTATAATTCCTTCCTCAGCTTTGTCAAAACAGTGTTTAAACCATCGTTTGAATTTTAAATTTGAATCATTGCATCTTCCACACCTATTTTGGTACATCAGGAGGTAATTTTATAGTTAACTTTTAGTTTCTTAATCTCTGCATATATCTGTGCAGATTGTCTATCTAGTTAACATCTACCTATCTATAGCTAGCTATCTATTCAGTGTACTTGATAATTTGCATCTAATAATCCTAAAAACTGTCATATCTATACATTTCCTTTTATGTATGCTTATTCTTTTTTTTTTTTTTTTTTTTTTTTTTTGAGATGGAGTCTTGCTCTGTCTTCCAGGCTGGAGTGCAGTGGCACAATCTTGGCTCACTGCAGCCTCCAACTCCTGGTTTCCAGCGATTCTCCTGCCTCAGCCTCCCAGATAGCTGGGATTACAGGCACATGCCACTGTGTCTGGAATTGGTTCCTTCCGGTGGGTTATTGGTCTCGCTTACTTCAGGAATGAAGCCGTGGACCCTTGCGGTGAGTGTTACAGTTCTTAAAGACAGTGTGTCCAGAGTTTGTTCCTTCAGATGTTCAGATGTGTCCAGAGTTTGTTCCTTCTGGTGGGTTTGTGGTCTTGCTGACTTCAGGAATGAAGCCGCACACCTTCGCCGTGAGTGTTACAGTTCTTAAAGGTGGCGCGTCTGGAGTTGTTTGCTCCTCCTGGTGGGTTCGTGGTCTCACTGATTTCAGGAGTGAAGCCAAAAACCTTCACAGTGAGTGTTACAGCTCTTAAAGGTGGTGCGTCCGGAGTTGTTTGTTCCTCCCTTCCGGAATTGTTTGCTCCTCCTGGTGGATTCGTGGTCTCGCTGACTTCAGCAGTGAAGCCGCAGTCCCTCTTGGTGAGTGTTACAGCTCATAAAGGTAGTGCAGACTCAAAGAGTGAGCAGCAGCAAGAGTTATTGTGAAGAGTGAAAGAACAAAACTTTCACAGCGTGGAAGGGGACCCCAGCGGGTTGCCGCTGCTGGCTGGAGTGGCCAGCTTTTATTCCCTTATTTGTCCCCACCCACGTCCTGCTGATAGGTCCATTTTGCAGACAGCTGATTGGTCCATTTTACGGAGTGCTGATTGGTCCATTTTACAGAGTGCTGATTGGTGCGTTTACAATCCTTTAGCTAGACACAGAGTGCTGATTGGTGTGTTTTTACAGAGTGTGGATTGGTGTGTTTACAATCCTTTAGCTAGACGCAGAGCACTGATTTGTGCCTCCCTCACTTGCTGAACTCTAGTCCCAGGTTAAAAATGAGATCTCTCTCCACAATTCTATAATTTTAAATAATAATGTTTTTACAATGCTTTGACAATATACATCAACTTTTCTAAAATACTTCATCATTTTCCAAATGACATTGACACTGAGGGCGTATATTATTCTCCATTAGTGATGTTGAAAACTATTTGCATATAAAATGATTAGAGCAATTAAACACTTTAACAATGTAATTTTTCTTAAAAATATATCTAAAAATTAACCTCCTGGTATTTTATTATTAGAGAGTCACATAAGGAAGAATGATTTCTGTACAGATCTTTTTCTTTTAGCAGCATAATTCATTTTCCTGCTCTGAAGCTTCCAATGTCTTCTGATTACCTAAAATATTTTAGTTTGGGATTTAATTGCCTCCAGAAACTGGCTATAATCTAATTTGAGCCTATTTTCCTTTGCTCCCTACAGACCCATATGCTCAACTATCTACTGTTTATCTTCAGTGAAATGTCCCACAAGCATTTAAAATTCAACATGTGCAAAATTTAACTTTCTTCTCCCCGATTTATTCTTCTTCCTATTGTTTTGTCTCAGTGGTTTAAATCCCCTGATTAACCAGTTATCCAAAACACCCTAAAATAATAATAGCTTACTTGAGAACCAGGGACATTGTTAACAGTATATCATTTGATTTCTAAAACGTTATCTGTGAATTTCTATTATTCCAAATATATATGTAAGGACTGAGACTTGGCAAGGTAAAGAAATTTGTCTCCCAGCTAGAAAGTACAGCAGGTGGAATTTGATTGAGGTTTGTCTGGCCTGTAAGCCCCTGTTCATAATGGGTATGCTGAACTAGAATCTCTGAATCACTCTTTCCTTTATCTTCACAGAAACACGTCCTGTCACATTGTTTTTTGATACTTTCTTTCCAAATAGCAGTCAGTAACACTGTCAGATGGCTCAAATGCCAGTCTATTCCCCTGTATAATGCAGGGATCTATGTGCCACCAGATAGAGATACAAAGAGAGTCGCTGACTAAAGACTTTCTATGACCTGTCAGGCACAATTATGTTTCTCAAAAGTATTTGAGATGTTCCTACACCCTTATTATAAATATATTTTTATTTGGCTTAATTTGGGTAGTATTTTTGTTTGTGTCTTTCAATTTAATAAATTCCAACTGTTCGAATTACTTATTACTATATAATAAACTATCTCCAAACAGAATGTCTATAGATGACAATTTCTTATTATTGAACCTCACAATTCTTTCCTTGGAACTTTGAGTTCCAAGAGTATAGAGTATAAAGAGTATAAAGAGTGTGGTCCATCTCTGTCTCATAAGGTTTGGGACCTCAGTTGGGTTGACTCAGAGGCTGATGCCGGGAGCAGCTGGGAGCCATCGCATTAGCTGTTCTCTCACTATTCATTCCCTTTGATCTTTATTACTTTCTTTGTCTTATTTTGGATTAATTGAGCTTTGTATGGTTCCATTTTATTTTCTTTACTGATTTATCATTTATGTCCTAGAATTTACAATATACTTCTTTAATTAATCAGGTTCTCCCTTCAAATATCATACATGTAGCACGGGGATCTCAAAATAGTATATTCCCAATCGCTTCCGTCCATGCTTTGTACCACTGATATCATTTGTTTTACTTTTACATGTACTGTAAACACAAACCATATTGCTATTATTTTTTCTTGCAACTGTCTGTTATTTTTCAGACTATTTTACCTAAGAAATAAGAAGTTCTTTTATCTTAATTATACTCCAGCCCTCTACATTTCTTTGAGTGGGTCCAAAATTCTGTTTGTATTATATTTATTCTCCTTTAAGAACCTTAATACAGTTTCTTGTAGTGTCTGTTTACTAGAAATGAATTACTTCAGTTTTTTTTTCTATATCTGCTTTCTTTTTGGAAGATATTTTTTACAGAGTATAAATTATGGATTGACACATTTATTTTTCAGTACATCGAAGATATCATTCTATGGCTCCTAAATACAGGATCAATTATATAGATGAAATTTTTCTGTTGTCATTCAATTTTGGATGGATTTAATTCAGGTCAACAGATTTACTCTATAGTAACATTTAGTTAGTAAGATCTCATTTATATTGGCTTTAGGGAGGGGGGAGGGAAAGCATTAGGAGATATACCTAATGTAACTGACAAGTTAATGGGTGCAGCACACCAACATGGCACATGTATACATATGTAACAAACCTGCACGTTGTGCACATGTACCCTAGAACTTACAGTATAATAAAAAAAACTAAGTATATACTTCATAGGCTTTATGATGACTGTTACGTTTATAAGCAGTCACTATGAAAATTGCAATGGTAATTTTATGTTAGTTTATCAAACATAAATCTTGTTTAATTTTATATTTTGTTACCTATACTTTGGGGGATCAAGGGAAGAGATGGAACTCTTCCTCTGAAAATGCTTCTTGGTACTTAAAGTAGTAAAACTATAAAACAATAAACATCCAGTATTGAGAGATGATATGATAGGGCATTATGAATTCCTGTGGGTGTCTAAATTATGTATGTCAGTTGAACATTGTAGAAGTTATGTAAATCAGCATAGTTATGTATAACTTAACCTTGATTTATAAGGTCTTAACTCAGATTATGACTATTCATTGACATTTCATGAGAAGCTTTAGAAAACTTTCTATTTTTAAACACCATTTGTATGTAGACTTCTGCTGTCACTGACTTTGGGCTTTATATTTTCATAGAGTCTTTATGGAAAAAATAGAATTTATTTTCCACTTTTGTAGCTATAGCTGCTGCACATTTTCACGCTGATTTATTTTTTTGTTTCTTAGCTTTGATGTTTTCAAACCAAGGATTGTGATTTTAGGTTAGAATCACATACTAGAAGCATTAAGACTACGTCTGTGGATCAGAATGCTTTAGTGATAAACCTACTTTGAAGACATACTCTTAAGCAATCTGGATCTTAAATTTATGTGAATACTTTTTTAGAAAATGATAAAGAAAAATGGAATTACTTCAAAGTGTTTCTTGAGTCGTTGACTCTTTTAGTATCTCAAATGTTAATTAGAATAATTGGAATCACTTTTTAGACTTTTCAACTTACCTTCCTTGGGAAGTTTGTGCAGTGTTATAGTTTAGTTTAGCTCTCTTATAGGGTAATGGTTTGCTAGTTTAAAACTGTAACCAAACCAACTGATCGGACAACATTTATCCAAAATACTTAAAATGTTAGAAAGTTTAGGAATGTTATAACCTAAGTGTTTTTGCTGATAACTTTTTGTTATTTATAGATATTTGTGTATTTAACATACTTACTTCTGGAAATATATGCCTTTCCTAAAACGTAACCATGCATTCAATACCATGGCCTATCTATAGAATTGAATATTTTGGACCACGTTATCTGTGGCACAGTCAGTTCTGTGTTTGAGGTAAAAGCAGTAACGGTTAGTTTTCTACTTTGTCTTGTAGAAGGTAGAAACCATGTGTATGTTATGTTTGTCTATAAAAGAAAAAATACTAATATTAAATAAGTTCTTATGACTGAGTCATTCACTTATTTTTCCAATAATTCAGATTGTATGTTCCTAGTGCCATTAGGTATGTATGTATGTAACTTTTATAGTTTTTCAGCTGAAAGTTGTATTTTTTTTATCAGGACTCTTTAATCTCATTTTAATTTCCTTTGAATGAACTGTAGTTATTTTATTTATTCCTATATTTACCATCTAAACCAACTGTAATGACATGTACACTAATAAAGAATTGAACATTTATAAAAAAAAGATAGCATTCTATAGTCTTCAGGCTTTCACAGTTTCATATAAGAATTCTACTGTAATTTTAATCTTTGTTCCTCTGTGTGTAATGTGACTTTTATATCTGCTTGATGTCAGCATTTTCAGTTTGAATTTTAATTTCATCAGTTTGAACATGATACGTCTATGTATATGGTTCTATTTTGTTCTGTTTTCTTTCATTTGTTTTCATCTCTTTTGGTATTTTTCTTATTGGTGTTCTATAAATTTTTGGATCTGTTGTTTGTTATGTGCTATTACTTTTAGGAAATCCTTAGTCATCATTTTTTCATTATTTCAAAAAAAATTCTTCTACCAAATTCTCTCTTTTCCTTCTGCATTTTACCTATGTGTATGTTATGTTGCTCGGTTTTGTACCAATGTTTGCGGATGCTCTGTTTTATTTTTGTTTCACTCTTTCTTCTTTTCGTGTTTCAGTTTGGGTAATTTCTACTGACCTGCCTTCCAGTTCACTGATTATTTCCTTGCCTGTGTTGAGTGTACTCATGAACACATTAGGAGCACTCTTTATCTTTCTTACTGTATTTTTGAACTTCTAGAATTTTCATTTGATTATTTTTAATTGCTTCCATCTCTCTGCTGAAATTACCCACTTGATCTTGCATGTTGTCTACCATCTCCACTAGAGCCTGAACACATTAGTCATAGTTATTTTCAATTTCCTCTCACATAGTTCCAACATCTGTGCTATATCTGAGTTTGGATCTGATGACTGTTTTGTTTCATGGCTGTGGCTTTTCATATATATAATTTAGCCTGGGAATGGTACATCTTTCTATCTGCTAGGCCATTAGTGTAGAGGTTTGAGGCTGTGGTTTCTATAGTTAAAATCAATGCAACCTTTGTATTCCCATAGTGAAACATTATGTGGAGAATGAGGACTGACTTGCCATATTAATATTTGCTTGCCCTCAGCTTTAGATGTTCCTTTCTAATTGCACCCCAGAGAGGATCTCTTTGTACACTGTCATTACTGAAGCTCGTTTGCTTGTGGGTGGTGGGTGGTGGTGAGGGGTTCCCTGTTCTGATTAAGCCTCAACCTTAGACAGGCACAATATCTTTAACCCTCATAGATGTGGCCTTCTCAGTTATCCTGCCCCTGGGCTGACTGTGTGGGCCCAGCCTCTCTAGGAGTTGGTTTTTCCTGGTATTTTTATCAGCAGTACTCTACAGGCAAAAGTGTTTGTTTCCTTTCTTCCCATGGGCTTTTTTCAGTCAGAGGAGATGAGAAAAAAGGTTCAAGTAGAGTTTCTTGCTCCTCGTTTTGGGGTGCTATTCTTCTACCCCAGGTCTGCATGAAATCCAATACTTTCTTCAGGTTCTCTCATTTTTTCTGTGATTACATGGGAGGATTCGTGGAGAAAAATCCTGCAAGAAGATGAGAACTTCCCCACTTTCTACAGGTCTCAAGGGTTCTGCACTGCCCTTCCAGCCTTCCCTGAGCCTTCACCAATTCATTGACTATTGTATCTGAATTCTACTTGTTGGTGCCCAGTGGCATCTGGGAAGCAAGCACACAGTATCCTCTTTCCCTGCAGGTGCCTGCCCCTCGTTAGAGTTTGGCCCATTGGTTGCTCTGCAACCTCAGTTATCTGAAAGATTACAAAAGAATCATGAATTTGAAGTTATTCCAACTCGTTTTTGTTATAAGGGTGGGAGTGATATTCTTCCCTGCTCTTTGCATTCTGGAAAGGATACTAGAAGTCCTTAATGAGATATTTTGCATTAGTTTAAAAATAATAGGTCTTGTCTTCAAAATCTAGTATGAATTGTTTACAGCACATCTCAATTTGGAGTCACCATATTTCAAGTGCTTAACTGTCATGTGGGATTAATGGCTTTCATATCTGACAATTCAACCCAATGCGCTCAGCTGCTGAATATCTCACACATAATAGTCATAATATGCATATTCTTTAAGTCTGTCTGGGCTGCCATAACAAAAATATCACAGACTGGGTGGCTTATCAACAAGAAACATTTATTTCTCATAGTTCTGGAGGCTAAAAGTCCAAGATCAGGGCACTGGCAGATTTGGTGTCTGATCAGGGCTATTTCTCATAGATGGCATCTTTTTGCTGAGTCCTCAAGTGGGTGAAAGAGACAAGCTCCCTTGTGTCTTTTATAGGGGCACTAATATTTTTAATAAGGACGATGCCCTCATGATCTAATCACTTCACAATGGGCTCATCTTCAAATACCATAACCTTCAGTGTTTGGATTTCAATATATGAATTTGGGGGTATGCCAACAGTCAGACAATAGCACATATTTCAAATTAATATTATCTGGCCTCCATTCTTTGAGGAGTTAAAAGTTTAGAGTTTGATATTTTTGGTGATTTTGTATTATTCATCTTAATAATGTTAAGTGCCCATTTGAAATGAACATAGAATATGAAGACAAATATATTATCCTAAATGTGTATTTTACCTTCATTATTTGTTTATAAACCTGAAGATATCAGGACTGTTACTGTAGATAGTTGAGGTAAAAATTTGTTAAGTTTATTCAAAAGATCATTTTCTAGTGCATATTGTAGTACCTATCTTTAATCCTGAGTTGTTATATTAAAGTCTTGCTTTAATGTGATGTAAACATTTTCAGTTTCTTTATACTAAAATTCTTCTTATTATTCAACATCAAAATAATGATTTTGCCTTTAAAGCACCAGAAGCAAGTTGTAAGATGGTATGAATCAAGTCATTTTCTTGAATAGCAACACCAAATAGAAATCCTTTAACAAATTCATCAGTTTTGATTTATGCCAGATGCATAGATGTGAATTTGAATTCCTAATGTAGAATTGAAGCAGAAATACTGAGGAGGTCTATAATGGCAGCAAAGTCAGATGTTTTACAGTTTATTTATTTTATTAAATTCATTATTTTTCCAGATAAAGTATGTTCTTTCAGCCCATTTATTAATGTGACATTTAATTGTGGTCCCAAAACCTAACCAGTTATAATAAATCTTTGTTCCTCTCACTTCATGTACTGTACTGTTTTCTGCCTTCATCTGTTTTAGTATGAGACACACTCTGATTGAGAGAAATTGTTTCAGGAAATCAGTTGTTCTAAGGTTCTTCCTCACCACCCCTCCCAACCCCCGCTTAGGTATGTTCTAAATGATGCTGGTGGTCAATAATGACATCTTTATTATTTTTCATACTTACTATGATACCATAAAGACAAAAACATGTATGGTTACTTCATAAATAACCCTAAATGCATTAGAATTTAAAAATCAATGCTTAGATTCTTGAGATAGCCATGAATCACAGAGAGGTCTACAGTAAGCTGGCAGAGAAGGGACACAGCAGCAGGCTATAAAGCATCATAATGTTTGTCCATAACAACTACCCAACCTCTGCCCACCAAATAGCTCAGTTAGCAGGTCAATTCATGTGAATTTGCACGAAAGGTTTAGGTTGCTAGTCTGTAATAACAGTTAGCATGCAATAGATTGTGGCTGTAGGTTTCACAATTATTCTGGTTGTGACTAAGGGTTATACATTTCTTATAAGTTTTTTCTTGTGTTTTCTAGGCCCAGCATACAAATTTGTGCATGACTAAACCTTGTTGGTTACAGTATTTTATAGTTTTGGTAGAATGGTGCTGGTTTGGAGTGGGCTTAAAGAGACAATAGAAGTGGGAGAATTGGAGAAAAACTACAAATAACTCTTTGGGGGAATTTTGCTTAAAATCAAGCAAAACAATGGAAAAGCGCTATTGGACAAAACAGGATCAAGAGCGTTCTTTTAATGAGAGAAAAAGGGCATATTTGTACACTAAGGAGAATGGTGTGAGAGACAGAGGGGGAGGAAAGACAGAAAGAGAAGAGAATTGCTGGAGAAATTGAGTGATGGTGGGATCCGGTGCACATATGCAAGAACTAGCTTGAGACAGGCTTGTGTAGTCAAACCACAGTCAGAGCAGGGGACAGTGTAAGAGGGTGCAGAGGCTGGTAGGTGCAGTTTGAGGCATCCAGAACTTTTCTTCTGATTGCTTCCGTTTCTTCAGTGACTCTGGAACAAGGTCTTTATCTGAGAGTGAGAACGGAGGAGGAAGAGCGTTGAAAAAAAGAGAAGGTATGAAATAGACATTTAGAAAAGAAAGAGAGAAGGGATAAGGGATAGTGTCCCAGGCATTTCGCAATAAAGCCATATTAAATTGAACTTCAAGTCCTGTACTTATGAACTCAAATCCAGTATCTCATCTCCATTTCCACTATTGTTACCCTAGCTCAAACTGCCACTCTCTCTTGCCTAAACTCCTAAACTGGCCTCCTATTGGCTTACACATGTCCACTCATGCTGCTCTCCAATCCATTCTTCTCATTGCAGTGAGGGTCATCTTTTCAATTGGGTATGTTCATGATCCTGCTCCATTTAAAACTCTAAGCCCATGCAAGATACAAGCAACCCCTTCTATGACATCTTCACCTCAACTCTTTGTTCCTCCCTCACACTTAGCAGTTCTACAGCAATGGCTTTTTTCACTCTCTTAATGAGCAGTGTTTCCTCATCTCATGTGGCTTCATAAATGCTGCCTGGAAAAATCTTTCTCTGTATCTTATTTCTATTTTTCCTTTATATTTCAGTTGAATTGTCACTTTCTCGAGGAAACCTTCACTAGTATCTTTAATTAATTTAATTTCCCTGTTAAATTCTTTTATGGTGCCATGTACTTTTTGCAGTTGTAATTTTATTATAAATTTACTTGTGAGATCATTTGATTAAAGAATTTTCCCTGCTGAACTGGGGAGCTCTGAGAGAGTTAGGACTATGCTTGCTTTTGCCCACCAGTGTATTGCTACATAGTAAGTAAATCATGTCTGGCACACAATGGACCTCAATAAATATTTGTCAAATTAATTTTGACTGAGTAAATCTCATGGGTACCAATTATCAAAATTCACTACCTGTAGAATTCTGAGCTACATTCTTTATAAAATTCATTTCATCTTTATAAAAACTTATACAGTAAAAATTATTGTCTAATTTTAAAGATGGAGAAATTGAGACTTAGAGATGTCTCTCTAGGTCTTTGGAGAACTCTTAAGTAAGTTCCCCAAAGTTATCCAGCTGATATTTAAGCCAGACAAATTTGACTCCAAAAGAACATACCATTAATCACTCTGAATTGTGATTTTTACCAAGTTGCTCATTTACTGCCTGATTTTTGTTCCCCTCTTTCAGCTTAGATAATGTATCCGTTCCTTTTTAGAATACTTCAATTTGCACAATATACCTGATTAACTTAAAATAATTTGTTTTGTAGGCACATGTTTCAGGACTTTATATTATCAAAACAAGTGCTCATTCTTCTTGGCCAAAATAAATAGCATTCCGGTTGTATATGTGTATTAGTCCATTTTCACACTGCTGATAAAGACATACCCGAGACTGGGAAGAAAAAGAGGCTTAATTAGACTTATAGTTCTACATGGCTGAGGAGGCCTCAGAATCATGGCGGGAGGTGAAAGGGACATCTTACATGGCAGCAGCAAGAGAAAATGAGGACGATGCAAAAGCGGAAACTCCTGATAAAACCATCAGATCTCACGAGATTCATTCACTACCATGAGAACAGTATGGGGGATCCGCACCCATGAGTCAAATTATCTCTCACCGGTCCCTCCCACAACACATGGGAAGTATGGGAGTACAATTCAAGATGAGATTTGGGTGGGGTCACATGGCCAAACCATATCATTCTGCTCCTGGCCCCTCCAAATCTCATGTCCTCACATTTCAAAACCAATCATGCCTTCCTAACAGTCCCCCAAAGTCTTAACTAATTTCAGCATTAACCCAAAAGTCCACACACAGTCCAAAGTCTCATCTGAGACAAGGCAAGTCCCTTCCACCTATGAGCCTGTAAAATCAAAAGCAAGCTAGTTACTTCCTAGATATAATGGGGGTACAGGTATTGGATAAATACAGCCATCCAAATGGGAGAAATTGGCCAAAACAAAGTAATTACAGGGCCCTTGCAAGTCTAAAATCCAGTGGGGCAGTCGAATTTTAAAGCTCCAAAATGATCTTCTTTGACGCCAGGTCTCACATCCAAGTCATGCTGATGCAAGAGGTAGGTTCCCATGGTCTTGGGCAGCTCCACCCCTGTGGCTTTACAGGGTACAGCCACCCTCCAGGCTGCTTTCATGGGCTGGCGTTTAGTGTCTATGGCTTTTTCAGGTGAATGGTACAATCTGTCGGTGGATCTACCATTCTGGGATTTGGAGGACAGTGGCCCTTTTCTCACAGCTCCACTACGCAGTTCCCCAGTAGGGACTCAGTATGGGGGCTTCAACCCCACATTTCCATTCTGCACTGCCGTAACAGAGATTCTCTGTGAGCGCCCCACCCCTGCAGCAAACTTCTGCCTGGGCATCCAGGCATTTCCAGGAGTCAGGAGTCAGGAGTTTGAGGCCAGCCTGGCCAACATGGGGAAACCCCATCTCTACTAAAAATATAAAAAAATTAGCCAGGTGTGGTGGTGAGTGCCTGTAATCCCAGATACTCAGGAGGTTGAGGCAGGAGAATCGCTTGAACCCAGAACGTGGAGGTTGCAGTGATCCGAGATTGGGCCACTGGGCCACTGCACTGCAGCCCAGGCAACAGAGTAAGATCCCATCTCAAAAAAAAAAAAAAAAAAAAGGCAGAAAAGGATTAATGTTTTAGATAAAACAATAGTAATGCTAAAGTTTAAAGTTATATAATTCTATAGAACATCTATGTTTCATCTCCAAAATAATTTTACAGTACAGATTCATTACAAACAAATGAGATTTTCAGCTCTCAGTGTGCCTGTGAACTAGTTAAAGCAAGAGAACATTAAATTACAGGCTTACTAATTTATATTCTTGATTTTACACTGACCAAAGCAATAAAATCCTTCCAGGCCACTTTACTTTGAAACTACCAACCTTAAGGCATTTTTAAAGTATAAAGAGTCAATCTCTAGTCATTCAAAGAACTGCTTGCTTCCCACAAGCATGCTATTGTGAGCAGATCCTCCTTTTCTTACACATAAGAGTGCAACAGGGCCACCTGTGGCGAAGAACTGGAGCCACCACTAATTATCTCAGGCAGAATCAGTCAGAAACTTTGTGACCTAGGCTAATTTCACCATCAGTCTTTAAGGCATTATATTTTCGGTAGGGTGAATGGCAATTAAACTGTGTGAATTCCCATTATGGACATTTATCAGAACTGAAAAGTACAGGGGCTGCAAGTCATTTTAAATTCATGAGTGGGGGAAGCAGCAGTGAGCAGGCACTTGACCACATTGAGCTTGTATTAGATCCATTTTGGGGTTAATAAAGCCACAGGGATGTTGTGTTAGCCCTAATCGTAGGTCTTGGCTGAGTAGTCTCAGTCCGCATTTCCCAAACGGTTCATTACTCTTACATAGTCATTTCCTAAATGTTCATTGACTTCTCTGCCACTCAGAAAGGGCACACAGAATCCTCTTTCTTTTGCTCTCGCATGCGTACTCACGAATTTATGAGAATTTTTTGACAAGCCATTGCTTCAGATTTGAACAGGAGGCACCATGATTCATGTAAAATGCAGTATTTCATCAAAGGATGTGAAAAATGTTTCTGGCAGGACTTCTGATATCCTGTGCCAGACTGACCACAAGTCCCTGCCTTGGCATCGTAGTGCCAATATAAAAGCCAGGGTAAAATATTATCTTTCAAAATGTAAGGCTCCAGTGACCTTTAGTACTTTTACCAACAAAAGCTATTTTCACAGTTATAATTCAAGCATCCAGATTTCCCCACTGCTTAATACACCTGTAGTTGCAAAGAAGTCATTTGGGATGAGTATTGGTCACTTCAACTCATATAGGTGCTTTTTCGTTTATGGCAGACCTTCTAAAACAGAGGATCCAACTCTCAGGAGATCTAAGGCAACCAAAAAGTGGGTTCTTTGTATTCAGAACATGTGTTAAAAACGAAAAACTCTCATAGTGAAGCCAAAGCACATTAATCCTCCTAATCTGCTTTCAGAGTAATGAGGCACAAGCCTTTGTCGCTGGCATGCTCTGTCTGCCGTGCTAACACAGTCAGTGGTAATCACAGCCACCACTCACAATTAGGAAGGCTAAAGGCAAAGAACTAGGGTGAGAGGTGACTACACCACCATCCCGGTCTTCCTGTACCCTTTCCAATTGTCTCGTCTGGAGTTACCCATGAGCTATTTAAGTGAAGGGTTAGGTGAGTTACTTCTGATTCACTGTAAAGAGCAAGGAAAGCCATTTGCTCTTGAGCAAACATTTCCAACGCTTATGTAAATAACATAATCCATTTAAAATTATGTCTAGGAAAATAATCATTTAGAAATGTGTTGTCAGGAGAAATCATCGTACCATATCTGCATGAATAGGATACATAGGTCACTGTAGGCAAAACAGCTCTTCAACACTACTGTCATTTTGAGTGCATGAAGCTAAGAAGAAAAGTCTTGTTTAGGTTTATTTTTTCCCTTAAACTTTTCAGTTTATCCTCACTCAGTTCTTCTCCAATAAATGGGAATTCTCTGTTTAGCCAGTTTTATTTTTGATTTTTGCTTCTGCCATCACAGTGCAGTATGGGGTGTTGGAATCCTGAAGTATTGTTCCGTAATGTCTCTTACCACAGCTTATTTCTCAAACTGTACTGGGATTTTCTGAAAATGTTCCAGTAAGTCCAGTATTTTATGATAATTTTTACATTTTTTATTATAAAAATTTTTTAAGTGTATTATAAGCATATCTGGAATCATTAAGATTGTTTTGTAACCTAAAACTACCAGAAAATTTATTTGTATTTATTTATATCAAATGTGGCTGCTCTATGTTAAGACTATTACCACAATACTTTGTGCAAATGAAATGTTTTTAAAAGTTCAAATAGATATAAGCAATAAAATAATTTGTCCTCACTCATTCTTGGTAGTAAAGACATGCCCAATTAAACAACAAACAGAAGACAACCTGCATTCTGGCAGTCAGGACCATATTCACATTATGTGAGAATGTATTTGGGAGATCCCACATTTGTAGATAGAAGAAAGACTAAAGCAGTTCATTGATAATACATGTTTAAGCAATGAAGGCTTATTTTGTTCTTGATTTCAATAATTGCTTTATATACTGTTGACACTCTTGGTTACCCACCAGACATCCATCACTCCTCCTCTTCCTCTTTCATGGCATGTGATTATGTTAGCCCTCTGTCCGCCTGCATGGCCCTACCCCAGTTCCTATCCCTTGTCCCTTTCTTTTCTCTTATAATTTAGATACTAGGAAAGTCTTCTGGAAGTCAGGGATTATAAACTCCATACTTGCGGTTCTGTGTAATACCCAACATATATACATTCACAAACTACAAAAACTGAAATGGTACTTCTGAAACTTAATCTAGTGCTTCACCCTATGCTTCAAAAAGATCAGCAAATGATCTAGAAAATAAACTTGAATATAACTCTACCAATTTTTAGTAACATGCTCATGCAAATAGTCGGTCTTTACATGAATATTGTTAAAGGGCAATTCAGAAACTAATTTAATATAAAAGTGAACTTAGTTACATCATTCCACTATTAAAACCAACTTTAATTTTAAATTTGGCAAAATAATATCATATCTTAGATTAAATTAATATTATTAATATGAATTTCCTTGGCATCATTGTTTGTTCACAGTTAATTTGTACATTAGTTTTGGTTTTAAAATTGACCAAACCCCACATGCAAAATGTGTTTAAACCTGCTTAACAGACTGTCAGGCTTCACTGACTATTTAGTCTAATGGATAATTTAGACTGGAGAGAGAGAGAGAGAAAAAGAGAGGGAGAGAGAGAATAAACCACAATGGTTAATGGCATAGAATGCAGAGGAAGAATTCTGTATTTGAACTTTAACTTCACCCCTCAGAAAATTTGTGACACTGGGAAAATATGAAACTCTCCATAAAAAGAAAATAATACCAGCACTTCCCTAGTTTGTCATTAGGATTAGATCAGTTAATACATGTGAAGGACTTAAAATAGTACTTGGCACATGGTATGTGCAAGAATTACTTTTTTCTGTTCTCATTACTATTCTTTATTATTTAATTATTTTATCATATGCAATAATTGAAGTGGTTATTTACTGGAGGGACCAGCCTTGAGCTGATAATTGTAAAGCATCCAAGAAAAAAAATTCTGATGTCCATAATTTTATGTCTAAGGAAGCTACCTTAAGACTGGCCATTCTGCTATGATTCCTAGGTACTAACCAAGTTTGAATTCGGTGTATAAAGCTAAACACAGCCCACATAAACTTACCTTCTGCATAAATGTTTTTGCTGAGTTAATTTCTGGTGTTTTGCCCTTGGCTATTACAAGGAGATGACATTTTAAATGACCATATTTGTTTGCAATAAATGCTAGGTTATTCACGATCTGTTACTTCCTCCCACACACCAAGTTCCCAGAAGGCACAATTCAAACTCATTTTTCAGAAAAATTAGAAACTTGTATTTGAATTTATGAATAATTATGCCAGCTTAGCTCTAGGGACATTATGCTTTGGTTTGGTTACCGGAGGATACACCTCTTACAGCTTTGCCTTGCCCAGTGACTTATACTACCAACTCCAGCTTTGTTCTGCATGTTCCCTGGACACTTAAAAGAAAATGATCTGCTGTATGGGACTGGGGCTCCAATTAGCATCTTTTTTGCTTAATTTATACTATTTTCTTGACAGGTGATCAGCATGTAGACTTGTGTGGCCTATCAATGGAGAAGACATTTATTATTCTCTTTGCCCAGTTCTTACCCTTGTTTGGATAATCTTCAAAATGTGGCTTCCAGATATGCAGATAAATGTTAAAACACTTTGCTAATGCTTCTGCTGTCTGTACAAGAACCATGCCTTTATAAGAATATTGAACACCAGAAGGACTTGGTCCACAAGGAGACCCCATTGCTGAGGAGCTAATGTCTTGAAAGTGCATTAAAAGTCTATTTTACTAATCACCGGGGAAATGGCAATCAAACCCACAATGACATATCGTCTCACATCTGTTAGGATAGCTATTATTAAAAAGACAAAAGATAACAAATATTGGTGAGAATGTGGAGAAATGGGAACCCTTGTACACTGGTGATAGAAATGGAAAACGGTGCAGCCACTATGGCAAACAGCATGACACTTCCTCAAAAAATTAAAAACAGAGCTACCATATCATCCAGCAATCCCACTTCTGAGTCTTTGTCCAAAAGATTTGAAATCAGTATCTCGAAGAGATATTTGTAGAGTATTTCTCCCTTATCTTCAGTTTCACTTTCCCTGGTTTCAGTTACACACAGTCAATGGCAGTCTGAAAATGTTGAGTGGAAAATTTCAGAAATAAACAATTTATGAGGTTTAAATTGCAGACTATTCTGCCTGGTGTGATGAAATCATTTACCATCCTACCCTGTCCCACCCAAAACATGAATTTGCACATGCCAAAAAGAAGCAATACAGTGCTTCCTCTAAGTAAAAAGGTGAAAATTATTGACTTAATGAGGAAAGAAAAAAATTCAGATGCTGAGTTTACTAAGATCTATAATAAGAACAAATCTTCTATTAGTGAAATTTAAAGGAGGAAAAAGAAATGTGTGCAAGTACAGTTGACCCTTGAACAATGCAAGGGTTAGGGTTGCCAACCCCTGTACAGTTGAAAATCTGTGCATAAACTTTTGACTCCCCCAAAAGTTAACTACTAATAGCCTGCTGTCCATCAGAAACCTTACCTATAACATAAGACAGTTGATTAACATGTATTTTGTTTGTTGTATTTATTATATACTTTATATTACAATAAAGTAAGCTAAAGAAAATATTTTATTGAGAAAATCATAATAAAAAGAAAATATATTTAGTATTCATTAAGTGGAAATGGATCATCAATAAGGTCTTCATCCTCATCTTCTTCATGTTGAATAGGCAGAGGAGGAGGAAGAGAAGGGATTGCTCTTACTGTATCAGGAGGGGCAGAAGTGGAAGAGGTGGAGGAGTTGGAAGTGAAGGCAGAAGAGGCAGGCACACTCAGTGTGACTTCACGGAAATACAGCATTGTTTTTGTCTGAGTTTTTTGCCTTTTTATTTCTCTAAAAATATTTCTATATGGTACCAACCTTTCTTCCACCATTTGCTTTAGTTTCAGTGCCCATATAATAGAAAAACCTATGTTGTAAAAGAGTCAATAACAGCCTTGAAAATCAGCACCCTTATGTCAGATTGTCTAAAGCCAATTTCTTTCTTGGCACTGCTTCTTCTACATCTTCTCCTTCCTAGTCTGGAACTGGCTCAGAATCACTCATCTCCATCAAGTCACCTTTTGCTAATTCCTCTGGGGTGGTGTCTATTAGTGCTTTAATTTCTCCAAGATCCATAAGCTGAAAGCCTTCACTCCCACCTTTTTTGTCATATCCACAATCTGTTTCATGATTCCCTTGATTGGCTCTGTTGTGAATCTTGTGAAGTTGTGCACTACATCTGGACCCAGTTTTCTCCAGCAGGAATTTGCTGTTTGGTGCTTGGTGACTTTCACAGCTTTTTCTAAACAACAATGGCATCTTCAATGATATAATCCTTTCAGATTTTGATGCTCTGTGTATCAGGGTTTTCTTCCATATTATTGACATTTTTTTCCGTAAAGTACTGTATGTAATGAGCCTTAAATGTTCTTATGATCTCCTGATCTAGAGGCTGAATTAGAGAGGTTGTTTTTGGGGACAAGTAGGTCATTTTGATATCCTCCATGTTGAACTCATGGGGTTCTGGGTGGGCAGGGCCATTGTCCAATGTCAGAAGAACTTTAAAAGTCAGTCCTTTATTGGCAAGATACTTCATGACTTCAGGGACAAAGCAAGGATGGAGCCAACCCAGAAAGTGGCTTCCCCTGTCCAGGCTTTCTTACTGTACAACCAAAATCCTGGCAGCTGGTGGTTATTTTTTTCCTTCAAGGCTCGGAAGTTAGCAGCTTTATAGGTAAAGGAAGTCTGATCATAAACCCAACTGCATTTGCACAAAACTACAAATCTCTTTCTACCTTAAATCCTGGTGCTTGCATCTCTTACTTACTAATAAATGTCCTTTGTGGCATTTTTTTTCCAGAGTAGGGCACTTTGATCTTCATTAAAAACCTGTCTAGGCAGATATTCTTTCTCCTCAAATGACTCTCTTAAAGGTGCCTGGGAACTCAGTTCCTGCCTCTTAGTTGGCAGAAGCTGCTTCTCCTGTTATCTTGACATTTTTTAAGTTAAACCACATTCTAAAATTATCAAACCATCCATTGCTGGCCCTAAATTCTCCAGCTTTAGATTCTTCACCTTTCTTTTGCTTTAAGTTGTCATATAATGACTTTGCTTTTCTTTGAATCATATTAGAGTTTGTAGTTATACCTTTCTTGTAGCAATCCTGCACCCACATAAAAGCTGCATTTTCAATAGGAGATTAAAAGGTATTTTGCAAAAAGTGCGCGGTTTCTATGCCTCCTGGCATAGCTGCAGCGACACATTCATGAATTTTCTTTTCTTTTTAACAATGGTCCTTATGCTAATCTTGAAATTGCAGGCAACTGCAGCTGCAGACCCCAATCTAAGGTACATATAAAGCAATTCAACTTTCTATAGTAATGTCATAATTTTTCTTTGTTTCTTGGAAACACTTCCAGCACTTGTTGTGGGTCTGATGGTGTTATTAAGGGTCTATGATATTATAATACACTAAACATGATGAAAAATATACAAGAAACTTCAGAGATCAATTTTTAGTGTGACACACAATTTACTGGAAAGACACACTTCTTACAAGCAGCTGATCAGTGTCACAGGGCATTTCAAGCATATACTTGCAACAGGAGCTCAGCTCACCACAACAACAAGAACAGGTGGCTGCAACATTATTACAGTAGTACAGTGTGTGCTACAGTTAATTTTATGCAGTTATGATTTCATTCTGCATCTTCACATATCTGTCAACTGCAAATGGTACCAGGTATGGTCTGTAAGTGTTTGTGTGGGTAAGTTTTGAGAAATTTTAATTTTGTGTAATAGATTTATGTATATTTTATGATAGTAAATGATAAAATAGACTAGTATCTACATATATTTTATATATTCATCAAATAACTTGTTCTCATTTCTTTTGATATTTCTAGGCTACATGACTCATTTCCAAGTTTTTTCAAGTCATTGCAACAATCCAAAAAATTTTTCAATATGTTTATTGAAAAAATCTGCATATAAGTGCACCTGCCCAGTTCAAACCCATGCTATTCAAGGGTTAACTGTATATGTAGAGTTCAGTGCTATCCACAATTTCAAGCATCCACTGGGAGTCTAGGAATGTTTCTCCCATGCATAAAGGGAGGCTACTGTAATCCCATGTTTATCCCAGTATTACTCACATAACCAAGATGTGGAAGCAATCTAAATGTTCATCAGTGAATGAATGAATAAAGAATATGTGGTAAATACATACAATGGAGTATTATTCAACCTTAAAAAGAAGGACATCCTGCTCTATGTGACCACATGGAGGAACCTGGAGGATATTACACTAAGTGAAATAAGCCAGTCACAGTAGGACAAATACTGCATGACTCCAACTTATAAAAAGGGTCAAAAATAATCAAACTCTTAGAAGCAGAGAGTAGAATGGTGGTTTCCAGGGCATGTGGGGAGGAGGAAATAAAAAATTACTATTCGAAACTTTGCTATTCATAAATAGTTGTGCTATTCATAAATTTTAGTTATCCACTGTCAATAAGTTCTAGAGATCTGGTGTACAACATCACTTTTATAGTTAATAATAATGTATAATACACACAAAAATTTGTGAAAAGGGTAGATCTCAGGTTTAATGCTCTTACTACAATTTTACAAAAGAAAAAATTGAATAAAAAACAATATTGCCACCAAAACATCTATTTCATTTATATTAGAACAGTAGAATTTCAGTTATGACTAACGAATCTACAATGGCTTAATGTCATTATAAATTGTTTAATAGCAGATATCTTACTTGACCTGGGACAAAATGCTATAGAAATATTACAAGTACCTTCAAAATTCAATGAGAAAAAAAAGTTAAGTTTTTTCTCCAAATTATTTAAGGTTATGGAGTGTAGTTTGTACTAACTGTGACTTCAAAAAAATTACCTTTTCCGCTTTCCCACCTATGAAAATAACTTTTATTTTTATAGTGATTTATTCATCACAATCTTCATAATTCTTCCTAAAAATATCTGACGTTCATTAAACATTGATTTATTGAATTAATTGCTGGAAAAAATCTAGCATCTACTTTTCCATTTTGTTTCAGGATATTTGATGTAGAGCATGACTATTCTTAGCTCTTAAAGTCTTAGAGTTCGCTTTAATCATGAAATTGCATTTGAGATAAAATAAAAAATAAGCCAGAGAAGTTATTGAAAGTAGTGTAAATATGACCTATAAGAACAGCTACATTCACCTCTATCCTTCAAGAGACACACTGGACAATTTTAATATTTATATTAAAGCCACAAGGGATTTGAAGTGATCCATAGAAATGTGTGAATTTTACAAGACAAGATTAAATAACTTAGGGAGTTCGGGGTGAAGGGAACTGCTAGTGAAAAAAATGGAAGTGAGGGGTAAGAGTTACACATGAATATTCATGACACTGTGTTCTATAAAATGGCTAGAAGTTGGACTAGAGAATCCTTAACCCTAGTTAGAGAAGTAAAATGGAATGTACTATAAAACCAAAATCCTTTCACAATGTTCTTTTGCAATAAAACATCAGAAAGATAAAGTTATGTGTAAGATTTTTAAAAATCATTAATATTTAAATAAACAGTAAAGGGACTCACACTATTTGCTAATCTGCTTGTAAAGGTTGGTATAGAAGTAGTGACATGAGGATCTAGATAGACGAAATGGACTACTATGTACTATTCAGCTTTCTAGCTTTCGTGCCTAACATTGCTAAGTTAGCCTCAGTGGGTAACTCAATAAATACTCATTGGATGAATAAATGAGTATAGCAATCAATTAATTAATAGACAAAATTAAAAAAGAAAGATGACTGGGAAAAAATGTCTAAAAAATTTCTACAGTGTATTTATAACTTTCATTTTTTACATGCAGAAAATTCAAACTCATATTAGGTTGTAAACTCATAAGATTAGTGACTATTGTTTACTCATCATTTATTTTTCCTCCTACCCTTACCCTCTAAAAACATAGCAGCTGTCATTTTAAAAACTCCTACTCTATGTCTGGTGCTTTTCGTTTATCTCACTTAGTGTCTTAGCTCAGGCTGCCATAACAAAATAGCATATACTGGATGATTTGAACAACAGAAAGTTATTTCTCACCATTCCGGAGGCTGGAAACCTAAGATCACGGTTATAGCATGGTTGGGTTTTGGTGAGTCTCTCTTCCTGGCTTGCGAATGGCTGCCCTCTTGCTGTATACTCACATGGCCTCTTCTGTGCAAGTGTGTGTTGGGGTAAGGGAAAGCTCTCTGGTGTCTCTTCTTATAAAAGCACTAATCCCAACAGGAGGGCCCAATGTCATGATTTCATCTAACCTTAATTACCTCTCAAAGGCCTTTTCTCCAAGTACCATTGCACTGGGGATTGGGGCTTTAATATACAAATTTGGGGGTAGCACACATATTTAGTCTGTAACATCTAGTCTTTACTAGACCCTGTGAAGTTAGCAGATTGCTGAAGTAAATGGGCATGAGGTTGAAATTGTATATATTTGTTTTATTTATTTGCTTAAGCAGAATCTGTAATTTATTAGGGTCTGATATGATCAGCCCCTAGAAAACAAATTCATTCTAAACATACTCTAGGCCGGGTGCGGTGGCTCACAGGGTAATCCCAGCATTTTGGGAGGCCAGGGCAGGCAGATCACCTCAGGTCAGGAGTTCGAGACCAGCCTGGCCAACATGGTGAAACCCTATCTCTTCTAAAAATACAAAAATTAGCCAGATGTGGTGCCACGTGCCTGTAATCTGAGCTACGCAGGAGACTGAGACAAGAAGATCACCTGAACCCAGGAAGTTGCAGTGAGCTGAGATTGCATCACTGCACTCCAGCCTGGGTGACAGAACAAGACTCCATCTCAAAAAATAAAAATAATAAATAAACATATGCTCAAGCTTGATAAATATTTTAAGCCCAAATGCTAATTTATTACTCTAACGTTACAGGAATCCTGCTAGCAGATAATGGTTGACTTGAAAACAAAAAATCTCCTTGGAATGAAAAATAGGAAACTAAATTTTGGTCAGTAGTGCCAATTAATTAAGTTATTCCCCAATGCTTTCCATATAGTGTGGCCTCATTAATTATTTGTCAAATTTCTGCTAGAATTATAGAAGAAATGAGAAAATTATTCTTTTGTTCTTGTGTCTGCATTCAATTTATTGTGATATGTTGTATTAGTTGAGGTATGTGAAGAAAATACAGCCTTAACACACATATGAAATTAGAAAAGGGAGGAACATTTCAATATACTTTTTCAGATAATTGTGAACATACCTTTTGATAGTACACCAAAACTAAAGAAGTGGTAGTTTCTAAATTAATTTTGATACTCATCTATTCTTAAAGATTGGTTGCAATGAAGAAACTGAAATTACATCTAAACTTTATTTTGTTAATTTGTGACATTAAAATCTCTTGATCTATCTTGTACTTTTAAAATTACATAACAATTGTACATATTTATGAGGCACAGTGTAATATTTTGATATATGTAAACAATATGTAATGATCACATCAGGATAATTAAGATAACCATCACCTCAAACAGTTACTGTTTCTCTGTGTTGGGAACATTCAAAATCCTCTCCTATAGCTATTTGAAAATATACGGTAAATTGTTGTTAACTATAGTCACCCTACTGTGCTGTAGAACACTAGAACTTATAGAACTTATTCCTCCTATGTAGCTTTAATCTTGTATTTGTTAACTAACCTCTCCCTATGCTGCCCTTCCCCCTAGTCTTCCTATTCTCACCTTTTTTTAGCTTTTACATATGAGTGAGAACATGCAGTATTTACTTACTGTGCCTGGTTTATTTCACTTAACATAATGTCCTCCAGCCTCATTCATCTTGTTGCAAACGACAGGATTTCATTTTTTATGGCTCAATAGTATTCCACTGTGTATATAGGCCACATTTTCTTTATTCATTCATCTGTTTATGGACACTTAGGTTGATTCCATATTCTGGCTATTGTGAATAGTGCTGCAATAAGAATGGGAGTGCTAGTATCTCTTCTCCATACTGACTTATTTTCTTTTGGATATATATAAATTACTACAATCGTAGATCATATGGTAGTTCTATTTTTAGTTTTTTGAAAACCCTCTGTATTATTTCCCATAATGACTGTAGTAATTTCCATCCCACTAACAGTGTGTAAGAATTCACTTTTCTCTGTATCCTTACTAACACTTGTTATTTTTTGTCTTTTTTATAATAGCTATTTTAACTTGGGTGAGACAATATCTCATTGTGGTTTTGATTTCCATTTCCCTGATGATTAGTGATGTTGAGCATTTTTCTTTATACTTGTTGGCCATTTATATGTCTTCTTTTGAAAAGTGCCTATTGGGATCATTTGTTCATTTTAAAAATGGATTATTGGATTTTTGCTATCGAGTTGTTAGTTTTTTTATATTCTTAATATTAATCCCTTGTGTAATGAATAGTTTGCAAATGATTTCTCCTATTCTGTAGTTTATCTCTTCACTCCGCTGATTGTTTCCTTTGCTATGCAGAAACTTTTTAGTTTGATATAATTCCCTTTGTCTATTTTGTTTCCTGTGCTCTTAAGGTCCTATGCCTAAAATTGTTGCGCAGACCAATGTTCTGAAGCATTTCCTCAATGTTTTCTTCTAGCAGTTTCATAGTTTCGGATATTACATTTAAGTCTATCTTAATTGAGTTGATTTTTGTATGTTTGTATATTTTTGTATATTGTGACAGTGGTCTAGTTTCTCAAACTAAAAGTAGAACTATCATATGATCCACAATTATACTGCTTGATATATATCCAAAAAAGTGGTCTACTTGTCTAATTTTTGTATATGGTGAGAGATAGTGGTTTAGTTTCATTCTTCTGCATATAAATATCCAGTTTACCCAGCAGTATTTATTAAATACACTGTCTTTTCCCCTATGTATGTTCTTTGTGGAAAATGAGATTGCTGTAAATGTATGGATTTATTTCTTGGTTCTCTATTCTGTTACATTGATCTGTTTGTTTTTATGCAACTGTCATGCTGTTTTAATCAAGTCAGGTATTGTGATGCTTCCAGCTGTATTCTTCTTGCTCAGGATTGTATTGCTTTTCAGGGTCTTTTGTAGTTCAATATAAATTTTAGGAGGTGTTTAGGAGTGAAGCCATCTGGTCTTGGGATTTTCTTTGTTGGGAGACTTTTTATTACTGAGTCAGTTTCATTCCTCATTTTCAATTTGTTCAGGTTTGCTGTCTCTTTCACATTCAATCTTGCTAGGTTTAATGTGTTCAGTAATGTATCTATTTCCTCTAGGTCTTCTATTTTTCTTGGTGTATAGTTATTCATGTAGTCTCTACTGATTTTGTATTTCCGTGGTATCAGTTGTAATGTCTCCTTTTCCATTTCTGATATTACTTATTTAGATGTTCTCTATTTTTTCTTAGTCTAGCTAATAGTTTATAGATTTTGTTTATCTTTTCATAACCCTAAAATTTACTCTTTTACCTAAGAGTTTTTTGGTGGAGTCCTTAGGTTTTTCTGAATATGAGAGCACGTTGTCTACAAACAGGGACAATTTGACTTCCTTCTTTCCAATTTTGCTGTCCTTTATTTATTTCTCTTGCCTAATTGCTCTGGCTAGAACTTCCAGTACTGTGTGGAATAAAAGTGGTGAAAGTGAGCATCTTTGTCCTGCCCGTTCCAGTTCTTAGAGGAAAAAGCTTTCAATGTTTCCCTATTCAGTACAATGTTAGCTGTGAGTAAGTCATATATGGCCTTTGCTATGTTGAAGTACATTCCTTTTTTACCTCATTTTTGAGAGTTTTTATCATGAAGAGATATTGAATTTTATTAAGTATGAATTCTACATCTGTTGAGATGATCATATGGGTTTTGTCCTTCATTCTGTTGATGTGCTGCATTGCATTTATCAGTTTACTTATGTTGAGTCATTCTTGCATCCCTGGGATAAATTCCACTTGATCATAGTGTTCAGTCTTTTTGGTGTGCTGTTTGATTCGGTCTGCTAGCATTTTTTTGAGAATCGTTGTATCTATATTTATCAAGGGTATTGGTCTGTGGTTTTCTTTTTTGTTGTTGTTGTGTCCTTGTCTTGTTTTGATATCAGGGTAATGTTGGCCTGTAAAATGAGATTGAAAGAATTCCTTTACCTTTAAATTTTTGAAATATTTTGAAAATAATAGGTGGTAGTTATTCTTTAAACATTTGGTAGAAATCAGCAGTGAAAACTTGACTAGTCTTGGGCTTTTCTTTGTTGGGAGACTTTTTATTGCTGTCAGTTTCATTCCTCATTTTCTGTTTGTTCAAGTTTTCTGTTTCTTTCACATTCAATCTTGCTAGGTTGAATGTGTTCAGGAATGTATCGATTTCCTCTAGGTCTTCTGTTTTTCTTGATGTATAGTTATTCATAGTAGTGTCTACTGATTTTATATTTCTGTGGTATCAGTTGTAATGTCTCCTTTTTCATTTCTGATATTACTTATTTAGATGTCCTCTATTTTTTCTTAGTCTAGCTAGTAGTTTGTAGATTTTATCTTTTCATAACACCCCCTTTTCATTTTGTTGATCTTTTGGTTTTTTTAGTCTCAATTTTGTTTATTTTAGCTCTGATTTCTATTACTTATTTCTTCTACTAATTTCGAGTTTGATTTTTTTCTTGCTTTCATAGTATCTTGATGTAAATCATTGGGTTAATTATTTGAAATCTTTCTATTTCTTCTTGATGTAGGTATTTATTGCTCTAAACATTCCAATTAAGACTGCTTTTATTGTACATCATAGGTTTTGCTATGCTGTGCTTCTGTTTTCATTTGTTTCAATATATTTTTAATTTCCTTCATAATTTCTTCATTGACCTTTTGGTCATTCAGGTCATTTGGCATATTGTTTAATTTACATGTATTTGTACAGTTTCTGCAATTATTTCATTAAATAGGTTTTCTATCTCTTTACTCAACTCTTTTCCTTTTAGAATTTTCATAGTGCTAATATTTATTTGCTTAAAGGTGCCCCATAGTTCCTGTAGGCTTTCTTCATTCATTCATGTTTTTTTTTTCTTTTCTTTTTTTTTTTTTTTTTTTTTGGTCTGACTGGGTTATTTCAAAAGACTTGACTTGCCTTTAAATTCAGAGAGTCTTCTGCTGGGTCTAGACTGTTGTTGAGGCTCTCTATTGTATTTTTGGATTTCATTCGTTAAATCCTTTAGCTCCAAGATTTCAATTTGGTTCCTTTTTATATCTATCTCTTTGTTGAATTTCTCACTCAGATCATGCATCACTTTTCTAATTTTGTCAAATTGTATATTTATAATCTCTTGTAACTCACTGAGTTTCCTTAAGATCATAATTTTGAAATTTTTTAGGCATTTCATAGATTTTGTTTCCTTTAAGCTCCGCTACTAGAGAATTATTGTGTTCCTTTGGGGATATCATGCTTCTTGCTTGGTCACGTTTCTTGTGTCTCTTTGTTGATATCAGTGCATCTGGTGGAGTGGTTGCCTCTTTCAATTTTATGGAGTAGATATTATTAAAAAAATGAGTTTTCTTTCTATAGATGTGCCCTATAGTTTCAGTGCAGGGTACTTTGACTTTGGTTCTGGGTGGGTGCAATAGCGTAGTTTTCCTGTGATTTCTTTGGCTGTAATCAGCATCAGCAGTGTCAGAAAGTGCCTCAGTGGCCTAGATTGTGGGTGTTTGTGGAGGCAGTGGTGTAGCTTTGCTAAGGACCAGGGTCACTACATAGGCTGATTGTCAGGCTCTGTGGGGATATACACAAGGCACAGTTGCTCCGTTGGTCAGTCGGCAAAGGTTGTCAGTGGTATTGGGTGCCAGTCAAGACAGTCCTCAGGTTCCAAGATGCATGTGTGGGGTGTGGCAGCTCAACTTACCTTGCGTTTTGGAAAGATCTTATACTTCCGTATGATTTTGCAATCCCACGTATTGGTCATTGAAAAATATCAATTTACTGAGTGATACAGATATTTTTAATGTTGACACATTTCATTATACAGAGTTCTGTGTCTTTCAGCACACTTTGTTTAAACTCTCAGTTTCACTTTTGTCATTTGAATATGGAGGCTGAGGAATCCAAAGATCTACTGTTGACAAGCTGAAGACCCAGGAGAACTGATAATATACTTCCAGTCTAAGTTTGAGTCCAAAGACAGGATGAAATAAGAAAATAATACATAAATAATAAATAAAATGTAATAAAATAAAATATAATAAAAAATAATAAATAAATAAATAAATAATAAAATCAGCTTAGAAGCTGATTGCTGCCATGAAGTTTCCTGAAATATGTAACCTTGACTTTGTGGCCAGGTAGCAGACAGTTACAAAACTATTCCAGACATCTGTGTACTTATTATTATTTCACAGATGCCACACTATTCAAAGAATTTCCGTTTTGATTATGCCTTAATTTCCAGAGAGTTATTGCTATTAAAAGTGATATATTATTTTTAATTACATTTTCTAATCAGTTATTGGGGATATAAAGAGATATCATTATTTTTCTTTTTTTAACTTTTACTTTAAGTTCAGGGGTGCAGGTGCAGGTTTGTTACATAGGTAAATTTCTGTCGGGGGGGTTGTTGTACAGATGATTTTATCACCCAAGTATTAAGCATAGTACCCATTAGTTGTTTTTCTTGATCCTCTCCCTCCTCCCATTCTCCATCCTCCGAAAGGCCCCAGTGTGTGTTGTTCCCCTATGTGTAAATGCATTCTCATCATTTAGCTACCACTTGTAAGTAAGAACATACAAGAGCTACCATTATTTTCATCCACAAATGTAGTATATCGATTTTATCATTTTGTATAATTTGCTGATTATCTTTTTTAATGTAAATGTTTCCATCATTACAAGTAATAATTGATTTATCCTTTCACTTCTAATTCTTCTAGGTCATTTAATTTCCTGGCCAGTTCTGTTAAATAGTAGAAGTGATAATGCACATCGTAATTTGTTTCTTACCTTAAAATAAATGTATATAACATTGAACACAGATGGATATAAACATGGGACCAGTAGATACTCTGGACCACTAGAAGTAGGGGAGAGAGGTAGTGGGGAGGGGGGTGAAAAGCTACCTATTGGGTGCTATGCTCCCTACCTGGGTGCAATACACCCATGTAACAAACCTGCACATGTACCCCCATAATCAAAAATAAAAGCTGAAATTTTAAAAAAAGAAATGAAACTATAAAAACAATCGATATTATTAAATTATATTTAAATTTAGAAATGTAAATTAAATACATTCTTCACCATGAAAAAACAAAAATAAATGTATTTGTAAATTTCTGGTAAAGCTTTTGTCAGCACAAGAACATTTTTATGTATTCTTAGTTTTCTGATTTTTAAATTATTTTATTAGCCTTGTTTTACTCAATAAACAGTACCAAAGTATAATTACAATTAATGCCATTAATAACAGAAACGAGACTAATATGAATGCGATAAGAGCTGAGTGAGTGAAGGTCAGGAAGAGTGGCAGTTGAGGGGTCAAGGCAAGACTCACTGATGATTTCAATCTGAACCACTAAACAAGTGACTCTCCCAAGTTTGCCAGGAAACTGCTGCAACTCTCCGATTTCTGGGAAAGGCCAAGGTGTTGGTCTTGATCTGCAGCAGCCAAGTAGGAATTTGTGCAGAAATCTATGAAACCATGGTATCTGGCTCTCACAACCTCCGTGGAATAAAAACCTCTCCTATAGTTCACTTTCCAAATATCGTGCAAGGTCCTTTCATTGGCAGGCTCTAGCCTGAAAGTATATAGGGAAGAAAATTCTGTAAAATAAATTTTCTGGCATCTGCAATGCAGAGTAGACCACAGAAGAGGGTGGGTGGAGTAAAGCAAAGTTGACAGCTGATCCTGCAGCCCAATGCAGTTTTTTTTTTCCTGTACATATTGAGATGACTGTGTAGATTTTCTTTTTTTTGACTCAATATAGTGAATCACACTAGTATATCTTTCTGATGTGGAACACTTTGGATTCCTAGAATAAACTCTGTTTTGTCTTGATGTCCTATCTAAAAAAACACTTTAGGATTCAAAATCTTAAATATACTATTATCTGTGTTTCCCACAGATAGATACTCATTGTAAGGAATCTAAGAGGATGTACTCCACTAAAGGAAAATGAATTTAGAAGAAACTTCTGTGATATGGAAAGTAATAACAAATAAAATACTTAGTAATAATTATACTGTCAATATTTGCAGTGACTAAAGTATTTGCCATGTAAATTTGCTTTTAAAATTCCATTTTCCACTTAATAAACATTAATATTTATTTATATAATAAAATACTACTTTTATAGTATTTATTATTTATAAAAGATACTAGCTGATTAGATACTAGTTGATATTAATCATCTGGTATCTGATAAATATAATTCATTTAATTCTTATGACAAATACTAATTCATTTAATTATTATGACAATATTTTGAGGAAGGTAATACTAATATCCCCATTTTACAAATTAAAAAACTGAGACATGAAGAATAGTTGACTTTGCTCAAGGTCACAGATTGATCAACTGTGTAGCTGGGATTTATACCCAGGCAGTTAGTTCCATGTACTGCTATTACCTACTATGTTAAGCTACCTCGATGCCAACATTTGGTAAAGAGAGAATGGAGATAATCCAGAAGAAGATAAAGACATGACAAAATTCTTATATTATTCATGAGGAAAATATAGAACATGAGACATTGTTCTTTTGCTTTTTAAATCAAATACTTGTATTCACGACATGATTGAATATGACCACATTACAGCTGTTAAATTTACAAATCATATTTCTATCCACCCACATACACTAATTTTTTGTCATTGTATTCCACATTTGGAGTTCATACAAATTGGTGGGCCCACCATGGGCTGTATGATTATTCCTGGTCTAGAGAACTATGGTGAGAGAGTGGCATGAATATAAACATGTTTGATGGTGATCAATCCTTACTGTTAAATAATTTTTCAGGGGAAGTGAGGGAAATAGAAGAACACCACTCCCAGAAAAGAAGCATTGTGTTGTGTAAGTGAAGTATGTTCCTTAGTGTAAAAATGAAACTTAATTTAAGAAAGTTTTATCTTTCTAGAACTGGTGTAATTGGGCCTCTACTCCTGTGGTGTATTTTTTGTGGAAAGGTATGTGCCAGTACACCTTAAGAGTGCTCTTTATAATTTCCTCTGAGACAATTTTAAATAATATATGTTTTACTAACAATGTTTTTCTTATTTTTAGTCAGACCTCTCTTAACTGACACCTGTCATTCTGTAAAACTCATATGCCAGAGACAGCAAATTTATTAAGGCATGAAGGGATAAATACATATAGTTATCTCTTTTTTCCCTAGGAAAACATTGACCTCAGCTATTTCCTGGTCATTTTGTTTCAGTTTTCTGAAAATATGGCTTAACATAGCATCATCCCATAACATTTACTCTATGGAGCAGTCCATCAGCAGTAAGAGAACAACAAAGTGATGGCAAGCACGTAATCACCATCACATACCCACAGAATGTTTTAATTAAGAAAACCTACCAGAAAGACAAAGATATGGCAATATCCTGTGATTGGAAGAAAACATGGGAGAATATTTCAAAAAAGTTGAATATATACAAGCTAATAAATTCCTATTGTAATTGTGTAATTCCCACAATGGTAGTTGTAGAAATAGAACTATCCACCTGCTTACCCTGTCTTCCTCATTCTATCCCTCCTAGACTTGAGAATTTGCTTCTGCCTCTAGAAATCCATCTAATGTTATCATGTTGACACATTTGTCTTATAAATAAATGACTTGAAAGCAAACTATAGGCTTTTAGAGGGGGTCAGGATTATAGTGGGGCAATGTAACAGGAGGGCAGCATAAGTGGGGAGCATTGGAGGCATTTTGGGGTGCTGCCAGGGAAGATGGTTCAAAGGATCTATATCTGAGATTCATTGATAACATTACTACTTAATAAAGACAATAAATGTGAAGAAAATAACATCTTAGAATCATAATCAAGCCAAAAGCTGATGTTGTGCTCAGTTTTTCCACATAGCTTTATGACATAGAAATACGGAGTCACAAGAAGGCTGAACAATGTGGAAAATGATTCTAAATACTCCTAAGAGAAAAAAAATGTTGTTTTGGTGCCACAGTTCTGAAAGAGATTTAGGGAAAAGAAAAATGAGCAGATCCTTAACTCTTGCTACTATGGGGTTTCTAGTAAATTGATTCTGTCCTTTAGGATCTGCTATACTCCTGCTTTCGAGCTCTGAATTGCTTAGGAATAGGTTCAGCAGCATATAAAAATGCTTAATGTGGCTGAACAAAATAGGGAGATTTTTTCCCTCATGCAACTAGGAGTTTGAAAGTTGGTAATTCAGGGCTAATACATTAGAATCACAGTCTCATCAGTGTCTCAGGCTTACTCTGGTCCCCAAGGTTGCAAGATTTCTCTTCCCCAATTCCCCAGCATCACGAATTTTCCTTTCCCCAAGAGAAGAAAGGAAAGCTATGAGCCAGCTAAGTCTGTGACTGTTTTGCAGAGCATTTCTCAAAGTTCCGCATAATGGCCTCCACTTATATTTTTAGCCAGAACTGTGTCTAAAGCTACTTCTGTCTACAAAGGAAAATGGAAGATGTAGTTCTTAGTTGTTCCCATTACTGTCTTCAGAAAAAAAAAGACATTTGTTGAGAGAGAATAAAGGGAAATTGAATACTGGATAGTCAGGCACAGTGCACTATGTGGTATACACTTCATACACTTCACTATCTGGCAGGGGCTATAATAATATCAGATATTATTGTTACTTGAGCAAATATGTATGATTTTCCTACAAGGCATATTTAGAATAGTACTTCCTTCCCTCATTGAAATTAGGTGGGTCCATGTTTCTTGTTTAGCCAATAACATCAAGAAAAGTGATATGTGTCTTTTCATGGAGAAAACTAAGAGCTATTGTGCAATTGGCAACTCTGCTACAGGATTTTTAGTGTTCCAGATGGTGGTAACTGCTTCAGCCTAAAGACCCTGAGTGATTACAATGAGCAGGGTTCCTCTGTTGATAATAATAGGCATGAAACCTGAAGCCTGTACATGGTGTCAAGCCACAGAGAGTCAGGGGTTACTTTTTACTACCATATCATCTAGCCTACCATGATCATTGCCTCCTGGCGCTAGACTCTATAGAATATCTGGTCATTTCTATTTCTTTATCATATTTTTAGTCATCTTCCCCTTTTATGTTTCTGATCCCTTTCTCTTCCTTCCTTTCATTAGCCACCCTCCTCCACCCCTTTATCTTTATCCAAGTGAGCTGCACTTGTGAATACCACCTAGCCTTATTATTTGCACTGAGGTCAAAAGAGTTACTTTCTCTGAGCTGTGGAATAAGATACCATAATTTACAGAAGCTCTGTTTTGCTCTACTTAGCACAACTTAAAACAGCCAAGTGCTGTTGACCAGCCAAGTGCTCTGTGCAGCATCTGAGATTGTCTTTTTCTCAGCATTCCTTTCAATATTTGGATAAGATTAAAGACTGGCACAAAAAGAAGTCTTCACTAACATAATTATGTTACTGGATTAAACTTGATGATAGCTGAGCAAGTAAATAATGGTTTTAATTTAAATTTTTACTGTACCAGCCAAGAATGCAGAGAAGAAATAGGAAACTGGATGTGCTATCACAAAATGTAAGTCCTGAAATCTAATTGAAATGACATAAAAGAGCATGTATCTGGAAGCTTCACACATTCTACTTAGAGTAGGCTTAATTGGCTATATAGTGCTATATTTAGATGTCATGATTATGGTATGTTTTTAAAGCAGAGATAAATAATAACTTTCACTGCTAAGCAAGATTTTATGATTATTATATCCTACACAGATGATAAAAATCATCTAAATATGTCTTGCTTTAGAAGCAAGATATTGTGTAGTAATTAGATCAGGATGACCAGATTTTTAAGAAGTGTATTAAGTGCATATTAAGAGTAGAGGATATATAAGACTCTTAGAACTTAGAACTCATTTTGGAAGTTTAATTAAGTTAACTCATGAGTGCCTTGGCATGAAGATTAGGAGTTAAAGATCCTATTTTTACCACTCTCAAATGGTTTAGGATCCTATTTAATTAGACATATTCTTCTTTTTGTCCTAACCACCTTTTTACTGATATTCAGGGAGTTGCATTCATTTATTCAAGTTAAAATAACACCTCTAAAATCTGAGTTAATTGTCTCAGCAAAAGTGTGCATAATGTCATCAGAAATATCAGAAATTTTGCCATTTGTGGTAGGTACCAGTTGTTTTTGTTGTTGACTATTTTTTTCCACGTTCCTCTTCAGGCTGTGGAGTTGCTCCTACCATACCTCATGTGGTTCTTTCGTAGTGGTCAATTCTTGTGTTCAAGGGATAATTCACGAATTATGTATTTGTTGGATGTGATTTGCTAATATTTTTAAAGTATTTTTTCCATCTATTTACGTGAGGCATACTGGTCGGTAATATTCTTCCGGGTTTTTTGTTATAATTCTTTATCAGATTTTAGTATTAGTGTTATATTGACCTCATAAAATGAGTTGGGCATTTATTTCATCTCCTCTAAATTGTCTGTAGAAGATTAATTCTATTTTGTCCTTGAATATTTTTAACGTATTAATAATTCATTAATGAAAATATCTTTGCCTGGATACTTCCTATCAGGATTTAGGCAAAAACACTTCATTTCTGTAATAGACGTAGAGCTGTTTCTTCCCGTTGATGGAACAAGTTCAAAAATTTGTCCTTATTTCAAATTTGTCAAATTTGTTGCCATAAAATTGTTCATAGTATTTTCTTATTATCCTTTTAATGTCTTTCTTATAGGGACACCATCATAAAACGTATACTAAAGACTCACTACTTTTAAATTTTTTAACCTTTTAAATATTGGTAATTTCCAGGGTATAATCTTTACTCCTTTTCTTTTCTCACTTTATGAGCTACCTGAAAGAGGTCTTCTCTACTTCATAACATTTGAGAGTAAGGCCAGGCACTAGTATAACAAACATCTCTCCTAATGGTTCAAATGTGCATCCATAATTGAGAATTGCTGCTTTAAATGCTCAAGATTCTAACCTCTAACTTCTGATTCTTCCAAATTACTTCCAAGAACCTCCAGTAAATTTGTTTTCAGCTGCATACTAGAATGTTTGAGAAATTTGAGTTCATTATCATTATCTCTAAGACTTGCTCTTCTTTCTCTAAGTTTTTTCTTTATAAGCCAACTCAGTTAAGATAAATTTATACTAAAATGCCTCATTTTTAGTGTAGAGACCAAAAGCTTTTGAAAAATGTATTCACATATGTAACAACCACCCTAATCAAGATATGCATTCCTGCCATCCCAAAAAGCTCCCTTATGTTCCTTTGCATTCATTTTCCCTTTTATGTATCATGTCAAATTAGTAAAAATAAATGCAATGAATTGGAAAACAAGTAGAGTTAAGATTGGGCCTTGGAAAAGCCAAAGAAATGAGTTAGCCAGAACCCCAGCACTTCTTATATACTTCCTGCTATGCCTGATCTTACTCTTATTATAATCTACTGAGATATTTCCCAGGAACAGAGGACATTTTGATCTGCCTTGCAACTGAAGTCTGAGGCCATGGGGGAGACTGTTAAACAAGACTAGAGCAATAGTCGTAGGGCCAAATAAGTCCTAGACTAAAGGTTTCTCTGAATTCGTACCAACAAGGCATTAGACAAGCTTTGAAAGGGTATAATTTACTTGAGTAACTTAACTAAATTAAGGTAACTGTGTAACAGTGCAAACTCCATCAATAGATAAAGTATACAAAAATCTAGTACCAAACAGAATTGAAAATAGCCAGTATTCAATTTTTAAAAATTTACTAGGCATGCAAGTAAGTTGAAAATTAAGACCTTTAGTTATGAGAATATTTAATCATTAAAAAGAGATACAGATATGGGATAATTAACATAAATAAGTTAATACAGCTGTTTTAAATATACTGTATATGTTTAAAAAGTAGAGGAATCATGATTATGATGAGGAGAGAAACATAAAATTTAAAAAATAATTCAAAACCTAGAAATAAAAAATACAGCATCTGAAATGGATAATACAACTGAAAGTGATCAATAGAAATTAGACAATGTAGAAGCAAAATTTTGAACATAAATACTTAGCTATAAAAACTATTCCCAAAATAAAACACCAAAAGAAAAAATATGACATAAAAAATTGAACAGAGCATCAGTTATGTGTGATACACTATCAAATGGTGCAACACACGTGTAATTGGAGTCCTAGGAAAAAGAAAAGATGTTGAGGGTAGTGGAAAGAAAATATATTTGATGACATAAAGGCAAAATTTTCTAAATTTGATGAAACATTTTTAAATAAAATAAAACACAGAGAAAATACTACCAATGTACATCACAATAGAAATGCTAAAAACCAGTGAAGAAAAAGTCACACAGAGCCAGTGAAAAAAAGACTCTATCTATCTATCTGTCTATGCAGGAACAAATTTAAGAGTTATTGTAGATGCCTTGTAATGACCTAAGGAAGCCAGAAAACAATGTAATGACATTTTAATGTACTGAAAAAAAACTGTCATCCTAGAATTCTATTTACAGAGAGATAAGAAGAAATTTTAAAAATTAAAAAATTTAGAGAATACATTATTAGCAGACCTGCATCACATGAAACGTTAAGAAAGTTTTATAGGCAGAAAAGCAATGATACTAGATAGAAATTTGGATCTAAAGAAATAAAGAACACTAAAATGGTAATGTGTATGGAAATATAAAAGTTTGTACCTCACTTTTTAGACTCTTTAAAAGATAATTTACTATTTAAACAAAAAGTAGTAACAGTATATTGAAAGATTTATAAATTATGTGGAAGTAAGATGAATGATAAAATTATTACAAAAGATAAGGAAAATGGAAGTACATTACTGTGTGATTCTTACACTGTATATGGAGTGATATAACATTATTTGATAGTAGCCACAATAAGTTGAAGATATGTTATGTAAATTTTAAAGCAATCACTAAAAAAGAAAGAAAACAGATACTGCTAATGGGTCAAAAGAAGAGATCAAATGGAGTCATAAAATATACTCAATCAACAAGAAAGCAGGGAAATGGAACAAAAAGGATATAAAAAATTAGAAAAAAATACCAAGATGGTAGATTTAAATTCGACAATATCAATAATTGTATTAAACTTAAATTGTCTAAGAAATCCAAGTAAAAGGAACATTTTTCTGATTTCCTTTTAATTAGAAGAAACAATTATCCTTTTCTACAGGGAAGCCTCTTTAAATATATAAACATAGATAAATTAAAAGTAAAAGGATACAAAAAGACATATCATGCAAGTATATATTGAAAGAAAACTGGAGTAGATATATTAACATCAGACAAAGTACATTTCAGGGCAAGGAGTATCACCAGAGATAAAGTGGTCAATTCATCAAATGAAATAACATTTAATAACATTTAATAAAAGAGCTTCAGAATATATGAAAAATAGGTGCAGTTGCCTGCAGCTGTAGTTCTATAACAGCTACTCAGGAGGCTGAGGCAGGAGAATCATGTTGGCCCAGGAATTCAAGGTTGCAGTGAGCTGTGATCACACCACTGCACTCCAGTCTGGATGATCTGGATGATAGAGTAAGACCCTGTATATCTAAAAAAATTAAATAAATAAAAGAAAGAAACAAAGAGAAATTGCTACTACTTAATGGAAAAATAGAAAAATCCACAATCCAAGTCTTGCTTAAATTGCATACTGAAAAAAAACCTTGGCATTATAAGAAACATCTATCTTGATAGTCCATATCAGAAAGATACAACTTTTTTTCTACCATTGCCAGATCTTAGCCTGTTCATGAACTTAGAACTCTGAATAAAGCAAATGTCTGCTCCCTTTGAAACTACTGGCACAGGTATGTGCTATCAATCTTTCTTCTAGCCTCTACTAAAGACTTGTAGTCATTTACTAGAGTGGTAGTGCATTGGGAAAAGGACATATTGAGACTTTGGGGGGGACTTTTGAACATTTCTTTAAACTACTTTAATTTTTTGTGATCCAAGAAACATCACTGTGATGAGAATGAGGGGTTGAGAAGTTATGGCAGCCAGCTGATATGTGAACATTTGGTGAGAACTCATTTTACAATTGTCCAGTGAATCTAAGAACATACTCCGTGGTTATACAAATGCATAATTGGAATAGACATGGAAATATTGAGCAGATGGTAGAATTCCTAGATTGGCTCTTTAAACCAAGGAATGAGAATTGTTATGATAGAAATCATTAAGTAGAAGCTTGATTTTCCTTGTCCATCAAAAGAGTAGACTGAAAAGCAATAGTGTATTCTTGAAAAATAATCCTAGAGTTTATTCCATCATCAAAGATGTATGAGGGATGATATCACACCCCTACTTAACTCATTTATTAGGACTATGTGAGAAAAGCAGGGAATTTGAGGAATGACAGGGGATTATCATAAATTTAATAAGGTGGTGATTCAAAGTACAGTTACCGTTCCAGATGTGATTTCTTTTTTCTATTTTTTTTTTTTAATTTTGAGACAGAGTCTCACTCTGTTGCCCAGGCTGGAGTGCACTAGCACAATCTCAGCTCACTGAAACCTCTGCCTCCTCAGTTCAAGCAATTCTCATGCCTCAGCCTCCCAAGTAGCTGGGATTACAGGTGTGTGCCACCATACCCGGCTAATTTTGTATTTTTAGTAGAGACAGGGTTTCTCCACGTTGGCCAGGCTGATCTTGAACTCCTGACCTCAAGTGATCTGCCTGCCTCAGCTTCTCAAAGGGCTGAGATTACAGGCATGAGCCACTGTGCCTGGCCCGGAAGTGATTTCTTTACTGGCCACAACTAAGCTTTGATCTGGCAAAAGAACTTTTTTTTTGATTAGCAAAAACTTCCAAAAGTAGTTTGTATTCACGTGCAAAGACAGTAGTATATTCTTTTAAGACCTCTCAAACTCTGTGTTTTAATAGAGGATGCAAAGACCTTGATATTTCACCATTCCTTGAGGTATCTATTTTTTTGCTTATTAAATTGATGGCATCGTGTTTATTTGACCTTTAAATAGGAAGTAGCATACACACATAGTAAAACGTGTATGTCATGGGGAGAGAAGTCAACCCCATTACAATTAGGTGCTTGCCTCTCCAGGGAAGTTTCTAGGCATCCAGCTATCTAGGACATAATAATTTTTCTAACCCAAAGTGTAAGAAAAGTTGCTGCACATTGCATAACCTGCCACTGAGAAAGAGGAACATTTGATGGATCTCGTAGTAATTTCTAGACAATATATGTCCATTTCTCTATGATGCTTTGGCTCATTTACTAAGAAATTTGGAAGGCTTCTTTTTAGTAGATCCCAGAACCAGAGAAAGTTCACTAGCTAGACTCATCTCCAAAATAATTTTCTTTCAATTAGGTTTTATTACCCAAAATTTCAAAGATGCTCAAAATGTCTGCTGTAGGTACAGATTACTTGTGGAGTCTCTGGCAAACTCTAATACAAGAATCACAGTTCCGTTTCATAGGGTTTGGAATGAAACTGTACCACGTTCAAAGAAAAACCTTCTTTTTTAAAAAAAACTAAATTAAACAAAACCATACATTTCTTAGCTCACTAATGGTCTGTAGTAGAGACCAAATATCTGACCAAGTGACACCAAATGACTATAAAATCTCAGCTGCCCATCATGAATTAGATATCAGCTGGTTCAACAAAGCATAAAGTTGAACATATTAGCTCTATGGTCAAGTAGAAGGGATATATGAAAGAGAAAGAGAGGTCTAATAGACACTGAAGTTATAGGTATACTTTGTTCACAGAATGGTAAGATGCCAGTAGCCTCTATCACTTCTTGCATCATCCTCACCTTTGACCTCATGATGAGTTTTCTAAAATTCCTATTGAATACGAAAAGATTCACACTTTACTTACAGATCATTTCACCCAGTATCTTGTTGCTAGACTGAAGTGGATTTCTGCAACATTATAATTTATCAGGAGTGACCCTGAATGACAGAGGAAAGGGAAGTCCTACAAATGGGCAAATCTTCAAGCAGTTGTCCACTTGCTTAGTAACATAAATGGCCCAAAGTATAGGTTTATAGCATTACTTTTTAGAAATGGCTAAAGGTTTTGTCAGATTCTCATGAACTTGGAAGGAATGAAATGAGATGGTTGGTAAAAAAGATGTCCAGAAAAGTTGTCTTAATGAATTTCTTGGAATAGTCACAAAATGTGAGGATATTTGCATCTCAGCGAAATAATCATTGACGTGCACCCACTAATAAGGAGGTTCTCTGTGATCAGGTTGACAAGAAGATGTGTCCTGTAAATATTAATCAGCCTCTTTCCCTTGCACAGTTTTTACACAATAGGCTTATGTGGCCATGGAGGCAGATATGAAAGTTACAAATGTACTCAACAAAATAGACTGGTCCTCATGAAGTTTTATCTGGCCGTTAAGTGGCCATCTAAGTGCCCAAACTGTCAAGATTAGAGAGCACTGTTGAGCCCTTTCCTTAGCCCCATTCTGCAGAGAACCAATCAACCATAACGTGGTGGGTTGATTACATAGAGGCATCAGTGATGATTTGTTCTCAAATAGACATGTAGTCTGGATATGGATCTGTATTTCCTACCTGCAATGCTTGTATAAGTATAACAATTTGTGAAGTTGCTGAATGCCTTGTTTGCCATTTATGGTATCCTGCCATTTATGGTATCTTACCAAAGAACTCATTTTACAGTAAAATAGGTAAGAAAAAGGCCAACACTCATAAGATTCATGGGTATGATCATGTACTCCATTAGCTGACTTGATGAAATGGTACAATAGCCTAATGTTGACTGATTCATGTTCCTTACTGGTTGACAAATCCTGCAGGAATACTGAGCTCCCCTATCAGGTTGCGATATATGCTTGCAGATAACGGCAGCATACGTAAGTTCAAAAACCAAGGTGTGGAAAGGGAATTGCTTCTATTTTTTTACATAGTGTTCTCATTTGGGCTTAATTTTGCACTCCTACTCCCACCAGACATCTGGCAATGTCTGGATACATTTTTTATTTTCATGACTGTGGGAGAGGTAGAGGGCAAAGATGCTGCTAAACATCTTGCAATAAATAGGAAAACTCCCTACAATGAGAATAATCCAGTCTGAAATTTCAGTTACGGTAAGTCTGATAAACTTTGATCTATACCTAATGACACACTTAAAAAATACATGATTCCCATTAGCACAACCTTGGGTTCTGCTGATTAAGAATCCTTCTTAGTTCTCAGGAGTGGAACTAATATGATTTATGGCCTCATGACCAATTATAGAAATGAAAACAGTAGTAGCTATGCATGTTTTTCTGTTTCTTTGTCAGGTATGTATGTATTATGTATGAAATTTCCTTCTTCATTTAGCTGAATATCTTACATAAAGTGCATTGAGGGGAGTTATCTTAATAATTTAGTCTCTAGGTTATAAAATGCCCAGAAGGGCTGTGACTAACTGGAAAAAGGAATTACATGATCCAGATATGAATATGGTGTTTTCTGAAATGTGTTTTCATTTTGGGGGGATAAGTTAAGCTCATCTTGGTTTGTACAAGGAGAATTTCATCATTTTAGATGGAAACATGATGTTATTCTTTTTGTTGTTTGGAAGCTTAATGGAAACATGATGTTATTCTTTTTGTTGTTTGGAAGCTTAATACTGGCATAATGATGGAAATGGATGCTGACTGGAAGCCAATTGGGGCTTTGAAACTTTCCTGTTAGCAACTTAGTACAATTTCCACTTCCTTCTATGCTCTCCTGTTGCACAACCAAATTCACACCTTATCTTTGCAGAATTCTGTTGGTTAACTTTCCCACATCCACTTCATTCACTCTAAACTCCATTCCCGTGAATGCCTTCTGCTGCTGACATGTCTTTATATGTTTGCACATGACATAGTCTATCTACCAACCTCCTTCCCTTTTTCAAATTTAAGACTCACCCTGAATGCCACTACAGAGGTGAATATTCCCTGAAATCTCTAAACATGATGAATCACATATTTCTCTATGTTCCCATGTATTCTATACGTATCTTTAGGATGGCACTAGATATATTGTGGGGGGTTAGCTAATATTTCTTTACATTTACTTTTAGATCATTCCAAGTGTTTAAGCAGTGTGCTATGCATGGTAGGTGTCCAATACATGCATTGTTTAAGTATCATAGAGGTTCAATAAATGTTCGATAAAGTGTATTTATTGAAGCACCTCTATATTTTTCTTAGTTTTCTCAATTAGAAAAAATAACACAGTTGGCTACATAAAAACACATGTATTAATTTAATTATAAAAATGAAAAATTATCAAAAACCTACCTTGAGATATGCATAAAATAAAGTATTAATTTAATAAACAATTATGGAATTTTTTTCACCATGAAGCAGACGTCATGGAACATGCTTAGAATAAAAGAAATATAAGATAAAGTCTCTGAGGATTTCACAGTCAGTGTAGAGAACTAACAAATAATTACACTATAGTTCAATTATACATCTATGTTTAAAATATGATCAGAATATAGACACTTTTTAATCCCTGGGAGAAGTGGGGAGGCCTTCACAAGGCAGGTGACAATTTAGTTGGGTCTTGATCGATACATTGAAGATCAACATGAAAAGAATGAGAATAAAATTGGTTTCATGAACAACTTCCACATATGCTATTTATATAAACAAAAATAATTACGTAAATATAACACATGTATTTAGAGATGGATGAGCATTTGTTCTATGCAGTTAGACAAGAGCAACAAAGATTAATATTGCAAAGGCAGGTTGAGGCCAGATAATGAAAGAGTTTTATGCCATGCTAAGTAATTTGGGCATTCCCCTGCAGGTAACATTGAGCCACTGAAAATTTTTAATTAGAAAAATCACATTTGAACTTGTGCAAAGAATAAACTACGCTGTAGAGAAACTGGATAAAGGTAGGCAGATCATTACAATAGTCCAGGTGAGATCGCTAAGATGAGGAGGAGGAGAGAAATCAAAACAGCATTTAAGTAATATAATTGCACATCTCCTTCCAAAAATATGTAAAGAATAGCTAATGCAAAAGAAACCATGACAATCTTGATTAAATTCTAGCATCATGTTTTAAATTAAGGCATTATTTTCTGAAGCTACTGATCTGGGATTTGAGCAATGCAGGGGACATGTTATCACTCTGTTTTAGTGTTTATCATATACCAGCTAGTAATTTTCAAATACATTATACATGATCTTTGAAAGCACTGTATCTATTAATTCTTTTGTGAAAGTAGAGATACTTATAGGAAAGAAAAAAGTTTAAAATCTAATACTTTTAGGTAAGAACGATATATGCTTCAGTGGAGAAAATACATTATTTTTTTGAAGTTCAGGATATGTTTTGTTTGACTTTACCAACTCTGATAATTCTATTATGAAAAATGAGTAAAATTATGAGCATAGCTTGTAAAAATCCTCTTGGAATCCTTCTGGGGTTCAAATTTGAAGTCATCACGATATGCTTTTTCTTGTAGCCAAAGTATTTAGTTGAATGCTTTGCAGTGTTAGTTAAATACTAAGAACTTCATATGCTAGTCTCCAGACTCAAGCAGGTTTGGTGGGGAGGTATTGTAGATGAAACACTAATGTAGAGTGTTTCTGTGCATAAATGCACAAATGGGCAGTGTGTAAGTATATCAAGGAACCCACTGTAGACTCCTATGTGTGCCTCCTTAGAAGGAATCATAATTTGCAATAAATGGTCAGTCTTGAGTACATTGGTTATATGTATAAGACATGGAATGTATCAACATGCTACGTTATATTTAAGCTTAGTGTCAGCCTATAGCCATTCCCAGAGATTGATCTCAAAGAATGCAAGATGGAAGGCTGTAAATATATATATACATATATATATGTATATATATATAATATTCACAGGAGAGACTGGGTAAGAACACTGCAAATATATATATAAAAAAATATATATATACATATACATATATATGACTCATGCTAGAGATACTTCTTGCTGGCTTCAGTAAGTGGCCATGTTGGGAAGACCATATAGCAAGGAACCCAAGGCAGCCTCTAAAACTGTGTGTGTCCTCTGGAGCTGAGGGCAGCCTCATTATATGTCATTACCATCAATACCTAGCAAGCACCTAGGCCTCTTAATCCTACCAGATAAAGGGAGTAAATTCTGCCAACAACCTGAGTGAGCTTGGAAGTAGACTCTTGTCCAGTAGAGCCTCCAGATGAGAATACATCCTCACCAACACCTTGATTGTGAAACCCTAAGTAGAGAACCTAATTAAACTCTTCCCAGGTTCTTGGTACACAGAAGCTATGAAATAACAAGCGTGCATTGCTTTAAGACACTAAATTCATGGTAAATTTGTTTTGCAGCAATAGAAAACCGATACATCCTCTAAACTCAGTAACTCAAATTTCCTTGCAGACAAATGAAGTCTGAGGTGCTTCTCTCTTCATTTGGCCTAGTTGACTTGAACAGACACACAAAATAATGATCTGGGTGGAGAAAAAATGAGAGAGGAGAAGGAGGAAAAAGGGAGTGTATAGCAGAGAAAGGGTAGGAAGGCAGAGGCATGGGGTAAAAAAATCAGAAAGATGCTTAAGTACATAATATTTGGGCAACGATTCACATTTCAAAATTATAGTCTAATTAACCTAGAACGTTTTTTCACTTTTTTGAATCCCTTTTTCTCCTGTGCTGAGCTCTAAAGCTGTACATACCAAATACGATCCTGACTAGTTTGGGGGCTTCCTCATCCTCCTAGATGATTTATCAGATCTAGCTTGGTCCCGGGGGACACATGGACAAAAACCTCCTGCCCATTCAGAAATCTTGGAAGGGCAAAGGAGAACAGGGATGAGTGTGGTTGAAGAAGGAGGGTCTCTCTGTGCTGACAGCTGCATACTTAGAGCTTTTTCACTTGCTGTCAAACACTTGTGACAATTGAAATATTCACACATATCCAATTTCTTTCCTACTATTTTTCTTTTTTAAATTTACCTTTTATTTATTGACTGATACATAATGTTTTATGGATTTATGAGGTACATGTGATATTTTGTTACATGCTTAGAATGTGTAATGGTCAAGTCAGGGTATTTGAGTTATCCACCACTTTGAGTATTTTTCATTTGTATGTGTTGGCAATAATTGAAGCCTTCTCTTCTAAGTACGTTGAAATATACAATACATTGTTGTTAACTATAGTCACTCTATTGTCGAACAATAGAACTTACGTCCTTTGTCTAACTTTATGGTTATACCCACTAACCTATCTGTCTTCATTTCCCTACCCCCACCCATCCTTTCTAGCCTCTAGTATCTATCATTCTACTCTTAGTTTTATGAAATCAACTTTTTTAGATCCCGCATATGAGTGAGAACATGTGATATTTGTCTTTCTGTGCCTGGTTTATTTCACTTAACACAGTGACCTCCAGTTCCATCCATATTGCTGCTAATAAAATGATTTCATTCTTTTTTATAACTAAATAGTATTCCATGCATATATATGCCATATTTTCTTTATTCATTCATCCATTGATGGACACTTGGGTTGATTCTATATCTTTGCTATTGTAAATAGTGCTGTAATAAACATGTGAGTGCAGGTATCCCCTTGATGTACTGATTTCTTTTCCTTTGGATAGATACCCAGTAGTGGGATTGGTGAATCAATATAGCAGTTCTATTTTTAGTTTTTGGAGAAATCTCCATATTGTTTTTCATAGTAGCTGTACTAATTAACATTTCCACCAACAGTGTATAAGAGTTCCCCTTTCTCTACACCCTTGCCAGCATCTTTTGTTTTTTTTTTTTTTTTTGTATTTTTAACAATAGCCACTGTAATTGGTATAAGGTGATATCTCATTGTGTTTTTTCTTGGCATTTCTCTGATGATTTTGAGCATTTTTTCATATATCTGTGGGCTATTTGTATGTATTTTTCTGAGAATTGTTTATTCATATGCTTTGCCCATTTTGAATAAAATTATTGATTTTTTATTGTTGAGTTTTTTGTATGTTCTGGACATTAGTTCCTTGTCAGATGAATAGTTCGCAAATTTTTTCTCCCATTCAACAGGCTGTCTCTTGACTCTATTGATTGTTTCCTTTTCTGTGAAGAAGTTTATAGTTTAATATAGTCCCATATATCTATTTTTTGTTTTAGTTGTCAGTGCTTTTGAGGTCTTAGCCATAAAATCTTCACATAAGTCATTGTCCTGTAGTGTTTTTCCTATGCTTTCTTCTAGTAGTTTTTTTTTTTTTTATACTTTAAGTTTTAGGGTACATGTGCACATTGTGCAGGTTAGTTAGATATGTATACATGTGCCATGCTGGTGCGCTGCACCCACTAACTCGTCATCTAGCATTAGGTATATCTCCCAGTGCTATCCCTCCCCCCTCCCCCCACCCCACCAAAGTCCCCAGAGTGTGATATTCCCCTTCCTGTGTCCATGTGATCTCATTGTTCAATTCCCACCTATGAGTGAGAATATGTGGTGTTTGGTTTTTTGTTCTTGCGATAGTTTACTGAGAATGATGATTTCCAATTTCATCCATGTCCCTACAAAGGACATGAACTCATCATTTTTTATGGCTGCATAGTATTCCATGGTGTATATGTGCCACATTTTCTTAATCCAGTCTATCATTGTTGGACATTTGGGTTGGTTCCAAGTCTTTGCTATTGTGAATAATGCCGCAGTAAACATACGTGTGCATGTGTCTTTATAGCAGCATGATTTATAGTCATTTGGGTATATACCCAGTAATGGGATGGCTGGGTCAAATGGTATTTCTAGTTCTAGATCCCTGAGGAATCGCCACACTGACTTCCACAATGGTTGAACTAGTTTACAGTCCCACCAACAGTGTAAGAGTGCTCCTATTTCTCCACATCCTCTCCAGCACCTGTTGTTTCCTGACTTTTTAATGATTGCCATTCTAACTGGTGTGAGATGATATCTCATAGTGGTTTTGATTTGCATTTCTCTGATGGCCAGTGATGTTGAGCATTTTTTCATGTATTTTTTGGCTGCATAAATGTCTTCTTTTGAGAAGTGTCTGTTCATGTCCTTCGCCCACTTTTTGATGGGGTTGTTTGTTTTTTTCTTGTAAATTTGTTTGAGTTCATTGTAGATTCTGGATATTAGCCCTTTGTCAGATGAGTAGGTTGCGAAAATTTTCTCCCATGTTGTAGGTTGCCTGTTCACTCTGATGGTAGTTTCTTTTGCTGTGCAGAAGCTCTTTAGTTTAATTAGATCCCATTTGTCAATTTTGTCTTTTGTTGCCATTGCTTTTGGTGTTTTGGACATGAAGTCCTTGCCCACGCCTATGTCCTGAATGGTAATGTCTAGGTTTTCTTCTAGGGTTTTTATGGTTTTAGGTCTAACGTTTAAATCTTTAATCCATCTTGAATTGATTTTTGTATAAGGTGTAAGGAAGGGATCCAGTTTCAGCTTTCTCCATATGGCTAGCCAGTTTTCCCAGCACCATTTATTAAATAGGGAATCCTTTCCCCATTGCTTGTTTTTCTCAGGTTTGTCAAAGATCAGATAGTTGTAGGTATGTGGTGTTATTTCTGAGGGCTCTGTTCTGTTCCATTGATCTATATCTCTGTTTTGGTACCAGTACCATGCTGTTTTGGTTACTGTAGCCTTGTAGTATAGTTTGAAGTCAGGTAGTGTGATGCCTCCAGCTTTGTTCTTTTGGCTTAGGATTGACTTGGCGATGCGGGCTCTTTTTTGGTTCCATATGAACTTTAAAGTAGTTTTTTCCAATTCTGTGAAGAAAGTCATTGGTAGCTTGATGGGGATGGCATTGAATCTGTAAATTACCTTGGGCAGTATGGCCATTTTCACGATATTGATTCTTCCTACCCATGAGCATGGAATGTTCTTCCATTTGTTTGTATCTTCTTTTATTTCGTTGAGCAGTGGTTTGTAGTTCTCCTTGAAGAGGTCCTTCACATCCCTTCTAAGTTGGATTCCTAGGTATTTTATTCTCTTTGAAGCAATTGTGAATGGGAGTTCACTCATGATTTGGCTCTCTGTTTGTCTGTTGTTGGTGTATAAGAATGCTTGTGATTTTTGTACATTGATTTTGTATCCTGAGACTTTGCTGAAGTTGCTTATCAGCTTAAGGAGATTTTGGGCTGAGACGATGGGGTTTTCTAGATAAACAATCATGTCGTCTGCAAACAGGGACAATTTGACTTCCTCTTTTCCTAATTGAATACCCTTTATTTCCTTCTCCTGCCTGATTGCCCTGGCCAGAACTTCCAACACTATGTTGAATAGGAGCGGTGAGAGAGGGCATCCCTGTCTTGTGCCAGTTTTCAAAGGGAATGCTTCCAGTTTTTGCCCATTCAGTATGATATTGGCTGTGGGTTTGTCATAGATAGCTCTTATTATTTTGAAATACGTCCCATCAATACATAATTTATTGAGAGTTTTTAGCATGAAGGGTTGTTGAATTTTGTCAAAGGCTTTTTCTGCATCTATTGAGATAATCATGTGGTTTTTGTCTTTGGCTCTGTTTATATGCTGGATTACATTTATTGATTTGCGTATATTGAACCAGCCTTGCATCCCAGGGATAAAGCCCACTTGATCATGGTGGATAAGCTTTTTGATGTGCTGCTGGATTCGGTTTGCCAGTATTTTATTGAGGATTTTTGCATCAATGTTCATCAAGGATATTGGTCTAAAATTCTGTTTTTTGGTTGTGTCTCTGCCCGGCTTTGGTATCAGAATGATGCTGGCCTCATAAAATGAATTAGGGAGGATTCCCTCTTTTTCTATTGATTGGAATAGTTTCAGAGGAATGGTACCAGTTCCTCCTTGTACCTCTGGTAGAATTCGGCTGTGAATCCATCTGGTCCTGGACTCTTTTTGGTTGGTAAACTATTGATTATTGCCACAATTTCAGCTCCTGTTATTGGTCTATTCAGAGATTCAACTTCTTCCTGGTTTAGTCTTGGGAGAGTGTATGTGTCGAGGAATGTATCCATTTCTTCTAGATTTTCTGGTTGATTTGCGTAGAGGTGTTTGTAGTATTCTCTGATGGTAGTTTGTATTTCTGTGGGATCGGTGGTGATATCCCCTTTATCATTTTTTGTTGTGTCTATTTGATTCTTCTCTCTTTTTTTCTTTATTAGTCTTGCTAGCGGTCTATCAATTTTGTTGATCCTTTCAAAAAACCAGCTCCTGGATTCATTGATTTTTTGAAGAGTTTTTTGTGTCTCTATTTCCTTCAGTTCTGCTCTGATTTTAGTTATTTCTTGCCTTCTGCTAGCTTTTGAATGTGTTTGCTCTTGCTTTTCTAGTTCTTTTAATTGTGATGTTAGGGTGTCAATTTTGGATCTTTCCTGCTTTCTCTTGTGGGCATTTAGTGCTATAAATTTCCCTCTACACACTGCT